>NC_000002.12:27520871-27673621 GCF_000001405.40 Homo sapiens
CTAAAAATAAAAAAAATAAAAAAATAGCCGGGCATGTTGGCACAGGCCTATAGTCCTGTCTACTAGGGAGGCTGAGGCAGGAGAATAGCTTGAATCTGGGAGGTGGAGGTTTCAGTGAGCCAAGATAGTGCCACTGCACTCCAGCCTAGGTGACAGAGTGAGACTATCTCTCAAAAAATAAAATTAAAATTAAAAAAAGCCACAAAAAAACAAATTGAGGTGTGCTCTAGTTGCAAAATACACACTGGATTTCAAAATACAAAATCCGAATATAGAAAAATATTGCAAAATATCTGACTAATAATGTTTAATATTGTTTACATTGGGTTATATATTGGGTTAAATAAAATATATTATTAAAATTGATTTCAGGCCAGGTGTGGTGGCTTACACCTGTAATCCCAGCACTTTGGGAGGCCAAAGCGGGCAGATCACAAGGTCAGGAGAAATAGGTGAAATCACATTTTTTTTTTTTTTGAGATGGAGTCTCACTCTGTCACCCAGGCTGGAGTGCAGTGGCATGATCTCGGCTCACTGCAACCTCCACCTCCTGGGTTCAAGTGATCCTCCTGCCTCAGCCTCCTGAGTAGCTGGGATTACAGGCATGCGCCACCACACCCAGCTAATTTTTTTTTTTTTTTTTGTATTTTTAGTAGAGACGGGATTTCACCATATTGGCCAGGCTGGTCTCCAACTCCTGACCTTGTGATCCACCTGCCTCAGCCTCTCAAAGTGCTGGGATTACAGGTGTGAGCTGCTGTGCCTGGCCAATTTCACCTATTTCTTTTTTTAATGCAGCTACTGAAAACTTAAACTTACATATGTGGTTTGCATTATATTTTTTTCTTTATTTTTATTTTTTTTAGAGACAGGGTCTCACGCTGTTACCCAGGCTGGAGGGCAGTGCATTGGCACCATCCGGCTCACTACAGCCTCAAACTCCTGAGCTCAGGCAATCCTCCCACCTCAGCCTCCTGAGTAGCTGGGACGATAGGCAGGTGCCACCATGCCCAGCTAATTTGTTTTATTTTTTGTAGAGATGGGGTCTTGCTGTGTTGCCTAGGCTGGTCTCGAACTCCTGGGCTCAAGTAATCCTCCTGTTTTGACCTCCCAAAGTGCTGGGATTACAGGTGTGACCCACTGTGCCCAGCCTTGCATTATATTTCTACTGGACAATGCTGAGCTAGACAGAGAGGAGGGTAGTGACAAAATGGAAGCAGTGTTTGCAGATGAACAGTCTTACATTAGTGTGCAAGATGGATTTGGTTACAGAGGAAACTAGAGAGAGGGAGTCCAGATTACCAACCTACAGGATTGGTGGGACACACATGCAAATTTGAGCAATTTGCCATTAATCCTCCAGTTTAACCCAGCCAGTCAAGCCCACCACCAACCCCTTTAACCTAGTTTTTCTTTACACCTGGGAATTACAATTTAGGATTGCCAACATGGACAAATCATCTACAGCCTCTATAGCCAGGCCTCGGGATCCCAGCCTCTCACTCTCATAGTTTATTCTTCTCCCTTGACTCCATTCTTAGTTCCTCTGGCCTTTAGCCTGACACTGATCTTACCACTTCTTCCTTAGCGGTTCTCTGGACAGTCCAAGGCTCGATGCATCGAGAGCCTCCTCCGAGCGATCCACTTTCCCCAGCCACTGTCAGATGATATTCGGGCTGCTCCCATCTCCTGCCATGTCCAGGTTGCACATGAGAAGGAACAGGTATCCTGCCCACTGCTGGTCATTCAACAAATACTTTTTGAGTACTTTCAGTGTGTCAGGAAGTTTGTTCGGCACTGGGTTTACAAAGCTCAGTGGCACTCTGCTCACAAGGACCTCCACATTCATGGGGTCTTTGGACTGGGTTTTGAAGGATGAATAGGAGTTTTCCTGGTCAAAGTGAAGGTTTCTTTCTGCTCTTAATCCACCTTGTTACCACCTTCTAATCTTAATAACATCCTATTTGCATCTAACCTAGTGGCTCCTGATTCCTGTATCAAATGCTTTAACTCCTCCAGGGTTCTGTTTTTTTTTTTTTTTTGAGAGAGAGTCTTGCTCTGTCACCCAGGCTGCTGGAGTGCAGTGGCGCGATCTCGGCTCACTGCAACCTCTGCCCCCGGGTTCAAGAGATTCTCTTGCTTCAGCCTCCCAAATAGCTGGGATTACAGGTGCCAGCCACCAATGCCTGGCTAATTTTTGTATTTTTAGTAGAGATGGGGTTTCGCCATATTGGCCAGGCTTGTCTCAAACTCCTGAACTTAAGTGATCTGCCCACCTCGGCCTCCCAAAGTGCTGGGATTACAGGCGTGAGCCACTGCGCCCGACCTTCCTCCGGGGTTCTTTCTCTGATGACCTCATTCCCTCAGGCTTCAGTGCCCACTGCCTCTTCCCCACAGGTGATACCCATCGCCTTGCTGAGCCTCCTATTCCGGTGCTCGATCACTGAGGCTCAGGCACACCTGGCTGCAGCTCCTTCTGTCTGTGAGGCTGTCAGGAGTGCTCTTGCTGGGCCAGGTCAGAAGCGCACTGCGGACCCCCTCGAGATCCTAGAGCCTGACGTTCAGTGAACCCATGTTTCTGGGTGGGTGAAAGGGGCCCAACCCTGCCCACTTCAGCCCAGCCCGCCCAAGGGGACTTGTGCCAGCAGAACATGTGGGAGGAAGAAGCCCCGTTTCCAGGGCATCCGCAGCCCAGGGTAGGGAGAAATATTCTCTCCACTTTGGGGGAGAGTTCTTGCTCTCGACCTAGTGGTTTCTACTCTCACCGACTTATTCTGATTTCAGAAATAAAATGAAATGTCTTATTTTGGAAAGTTAACCTTTCAAAGTCAGTAAATCAAACAGTAGATCAGAGGTGGGATAGGATGGGTGGCATGGGTTGGTCTTAACAGCAGATTTGTTTCTTTAATTCTGTCCCCAACTCCATTTCATTGGTCCCTAACACAAGCCTTATACTGGCATCCCTATATTTTCATTACCAACATGCAGCCACGTGTGCATGCGTGCACACACACTCCAATCCCACACAGACACACAATGAGAGGTGGGAACTTTTAGATAATTCCAGGGGAAGAGGGAAGAAGTTGTGTACCTAACATAGGAAACCCAGAAAAAGGGCAGTCTTAATCAGACATGACAAGATCTAGAATGACTGCTACATCCACGCATTAGACCATGAAATGAGGGTCACATCCCCTGCCCCGTGTTTGTAAGAGGAACATAAGGAACTCTGGAGGTGCTGAAAGCCCTTGGTGGTGGGACCCAACAAACACTAGAAACCCCGGGCTGTACATTTTAGACATCAGCTACCCCATGTTTTGACAAATCAAAGACACCCTTGTTCATCCTAGATTCATGCCAGCTCTTTAGGGCCTGTGATATATGGCCCTGACAGTAGAGAGCTGGTTCCTCCTTGTGCCTGAGAAATATCCAGGTAATAGATACTCAGGAACATTCCTCTGGGGATGAAACTCTCTGGAAAGGTCCCTGGAACTTTTAGGCAGGAGGGTGACTGCAAAGGAGCCAGATTTTGGTTTTATGAGGATAGAGTAATCAACCTTTTTAAGGTGGCCATAGGCCCCTCTGTGCATCTGAGGGCCTGCAGCCTCTATGTGAGCTCTGTTTTCCTGTTCCACATCTTCACACTGATGCCTTGGATGATCAGTAATCCCCCTTTCCCCAGCCACTACTCTCACGATGCTTCCTGAGTACCACCCCTTTCATCTTCCACAAACACCTCTCCCAAATTCAAGATGGCTAAAGTTAGGAAAGGCTCCTGCAAAGTCCCTCTGCTTCTCTTCACCCACAACTCTCTACCACGTTCTTTCATCGGGTCAGTTCATCTCTCAGCATGGTGTCATGAACAGTGTCAAGTCTGAGAAGATACCTAGCATTCTGGGACCCCAAAGGGCAGAGCACCCCTTGATCCTGTTGATGATGCCAACTGTACAGTAGCTCCCCTCCCACATTTGGAGGGGATAGGGCACAGGGTTAGATTTCTCCAGGGCTGGATGCAGAAGAACTCTAGAAGCCCTGAGTTCTTTTAGTTGCCAAGTACGTGGATGGCATGAAGACATCAAGTGAATTCAATTCTTATGTAGTTGGACACAATATTCAGGTATTATGAATATTGTGGGACATTATTGTGGGACATTATGAATATTGTGGGATAGCCTTGGGGGACATTAGAAGCTAGACACACTCTGGCATTGTGGCAGAGATGAAGATGACTAAGATCTGATGCCTACCCCCTAGAAACTCACAAGCACATAGCAATTAGAATACAAGACAGAGTTGAAGTGGATTAAACAGCGGGATAAGTACAGAGAGCTGCTGAAATTACAGGGTAGGCCAAGAGTCAAGGAAAGTTTTGGAAGAAAGGAGGCTGGGGTGGGGTAAAGGAACAGCCAAAGAAAACGCAAGAAGGTTTGAAGATTCACACTGGGATATGGATCTGATAGCAGAGAATCTGGTCATTGTCAATGGGATTTGTGCTCCAGGCAGAGCTAAAGAAGTTCAAAGATTTTTTTAGAACTATCCAGACACAAATGATAGGGTGACAACTTTTGCAGTTATTTGGAGAAAGTAAACATCTGAGGGCAAAAACAGCAAGAGAATAATCCATTATTAATACAAGGCAGTAATTATGTAGAAAGGACTAAAGGGCCTGGGCCTGAAGACTGGATTAGATTGTGGAAGATGAAGAAAACAATTTCCCAGCACATATATTTGCTGGATCAAAAGCAAAAGGGGGCTAGGTGTGCCATCCTAGCTACTTGAGAGGCTGAGATGGGAGGATCACTTGAGTCCAGGAGTTCAAGGCCAGGCTGGGCCACATTACAAGACCCTGGCTCTAAAACAGAAAAAAAAAACAAGAGGGGGTGGGACAAAATATATTTGGATATCGCACATACTCTAAGCCTGACGTTATACACACACACACACACACACACACACACACACACACACACACACATATATATGGAATATATAATATATATCCATATATATATATGGAACTCATGAACTCGTCTCCAAAATCTAGCTAGCTATTCTTTTCATAATTTAGATGGTCTCTCTCTCTTTTTTTTTTTTTTTAAGGAAAGTGTCTCACTATGTTGTCCAGGCTGCAGTGCAGTGGTGCGGTCATAGCTCACTGCAGCCTCGAACTCCTTGGCTCAAGCAATCTTCCTGCCTCAGCCTCCCGAGTAGCTAGGACTACAAATGTGCACCACCACACCTGGCTCATTTTTAATTTTTTTTTTGTAGAGATGGGGCCCTGCTATGTTGCTCAGGCTGGTCTTGATTCCTGGCCTCCAGTGATCTTACTGCTTTAGCCACCCAAAGTGCTGGGATCGTGTGTGTGAACCACCACACCTGGCCAACATTCGTCCGGTCTAACATTCAGATTGTTTTGAATGTTACACAGCCTGGAGCCAGCTCTTGAATATTAGATAAGCTATAACGTTGAAAGAGGATGTTGGGACCAGGTAGGAGACAGAGGGGTCTCCATCTGGTTCCAGGGATGGGCTCTACAAATACAGCAAAATGCCTAAGATCCAATGGAAACTTAGGGTTGGACCCAATTGGACAGGTGAGTCAAATCCTAGGGTTGAGAGGACAGGTACTATATCTAGGTGATGCAAAATGCTCCCATCCTGGGAGAGAGAAGTGGGTCATTTTTAAGCTAGTAACTGGGGTGCTGTGGAAAAGACAAGGAAAAAGACAGGAAGAGGATCCCTGGAGCATCTTGTAGTCACAGAAAGTAAAGAATTGCTCAAAACCTCCACAAGGATGACAATATGTCAAAGGGATACAAGAGCCAATGTGAAAGAGCTCCTAGTGCCTAAAGTGGGAACAATTTGAGCAACAAAATAAGTAACAAGCTGGTCATGGTGGTAGGCGACAGCAGTCCCAGCTACTTGGGAAGCGAGGTGGGAGGATCGATTTCTTAAGCCCAGGAGGTTGAGGCTGCAGTGAGCTGTCATCATGCCACTGCACTCCAGCCTGGGTGACAGAATGAGACCCTGTCTCAAATAAATAAATAAAATTAAAAAAAACACTTGGTTTAAAAAAATACATGAGTACGCGTGAATTCGTACCGTTATAAGCAAATGATTGAATAAATAAAGTGGGGGAAAGTACCAATTTTTCCTAAAGAAGAATTCTAAATAAACACACACGCGCGCGCACACACACACACACACACACACACACACTCCTTTAGGAAATGGAGCTTAATCATCCCACACCACCTCTCCTCCAATGTGGGTTAGATTTAGGGGCTCACTTACAAAAAAACAGAGTATGGGAAAGGGAATGGGTTTTACGGTGGAGAAACCAGGCAAGCACTACCCTAATCAAGTAATCAAGATGGGCATCACCAGCAGGTATCACGCACCTCCTGATATGATATCATGAGAAAGGCATGTCACCTCTGTGGTATTCTTCCCCCAAACACATAACCTCAGTCTAAGCATAAAGAAAACATCACAGTAACCCAGCTTTAGGGACATATTATAAAATACCTGCTCATATTACAAAATACCTGAAAATTTTCAGTCATGGAAAACAAGAAAAGACTGAGAAACTGTCATAGACCAGAAGAGACTCAGGAAGCATGACTCACCTACAGGGTGCTACCCTCGGTTGGATCCTGGAAAGATAAAGGACTTTAGTGGCAAAACTGGTGAAACTGCATGAAATCTGGAGTTTAGTTAATAGTAAATATACCAATGTTAATCTCATAGTTTTGACAAACGTACCAAACTTATGTAAGATGTTAATGTTAGGTGAAACTAGGTGAAATATATATGGGAATTTGCTGTACTATCTTTGTAACTTTTCTGTAAACCTGAAATTTTTCAAAAATAAAAAGTTTATTCAAAAAATAAATTTAAACTGAAAGCCTTTCCTCTTAGATCTGGAACGTGACAAAGATCCCCACTTTCACCACTGATATTCAACACAGTACTGGAAGTCCTAGCTAGAGCAATCGGACAAGACAAAGAAATAAAGGGCATCCAAACTGGAAAGGAAGAAGTCAAATTATCCTTATTTGAAGGAGATGTGATTTTTTTTTTTTTTTGAGACAGAGTCTTGCTCTGTTGCCCAGGCTGGAGTGCAGTGGTGTGATCTCGGCTCACTGTAACCTCCGCCTCCCGGGTCCAGTCGTTTCTTCTGCCTCAGCCTCCTGAGTAGCTGGGATTATAGGTGCACACCACCATGCCTGGCTAATTTTTTGTTTTTTTGTTTTTTTGTTTTTTTTTTTAGTAGAGACGGGGTTTCACCATGTTGGTCAGGCTGGTCTTGAACTCCTGACCTTGTGATCCACCTGCCTCAGCCTCCCAAAGTGTTGGGATTACAGGCTTGAGCCACTGCACCTGTCAAGATCTCTACAATGAAAGCTATAAAACACTGATGAGAGAAATTGAAGATGGCACAGAAAAATGGAAAGATATTCTATAATCATGGATTGGAAGAATCAATGTTAAAATGTCCGTAGTACCCAAAGCAATCTACAGCTTCAATGCAATCTCTATCAAAATATCAATGACATTCTTCACAGAGATAGCAAAAACATCCTAAAATTTATATGGAACCACAAAAGACCTAGAATAACCAAAGCTATCCTGAGCAAAAAGAACAAAACTAGAGGAATCCATTACCTAACTTCAAATTACATTACAGAGTTATAGTAACGAAAACAGCATGGTACTGGCATAAAAACAGATACATAGACCAATGTAACCGAATAGAGAACTCAAAAACAAATTCACACACCTGCAGTGAACTCGTTTTTGACAAAGGTACCAAGAACATACATTGGGGAAAAGACAGTTTCTATAATAAATGATGCTGGGAAAATTGGATCTCTGATATGGTTTGGTTCTGTGTCGCCACCCAAATCTCATGTTGAATTATAATTCCCAATGTTGTGGGAGGGGCCGGGTGGGAGGTGACTGGATCATGGGGGTGGAGTTCCCCCATTCTGTTTTCATGATAGTGAGTGAGTTCTCACAAGATCTTATGGTTTAAAAGTGTGTGGCACTCTCCCCTTTGTGCTCTCTCTCTTTCCTGCTGCTATGTGAAGAAGATGTTGGCTTCCGCTTCACCTTCCACCATGATTGTAGGTTTCCTAAGGCCTCCCAGTCATGTTTCCTGTTAAGCCTGTGAAACTGTGAGTCAATTAAACCTCCTTTATTCATAAATTACCCAGTCTCAGGTAGTATATCCATATGCAGAAGAATGAAACTAGACCCGTATCTCTTGCCATATACAAAAATCAAATCAAAATGGATTAGAGACTTAAATCTCAAACTATGAAACTACTATCAGAAAACACTGGGAGAAACTCTCTAGGACATTACCCTGGGCAAAAGTTTCTTGAGTAATTCTCTACGAGCACAGGCAACCAAAGCAAAAATGGAAAAATGGGATCACATTAAGTTAAAAAGCTTTTGCACAGCAAAGGAAATAATCAACAAAGTGAAGAGACAATCCACAGGATAGGAGAAAATTTTTACAACTACCCATATGACAAGGGATTAATAACTATATATATGTATATATATATATATGGAGCTCAGCTCTATAGGAAGAAATCTAATAATCCAATTTAAAAATTGGCAAAAGATGTGAATAGCCGGCCAGGTGCGGTGGCTCATGCCTGTAATCCCAGCACTTTGGGAGGCCAAGGCGGGCGAATCACGAGGTCAGGAGTTCGAGACCAGCCTGGCCAACATGGTGAAACCCTGTCTCTACTAAAAATACAAAAATTAGCTGGGCATGGTGGCACGTGCCTGTAATCCCAGCTACTAGGGAGGCTAAAGCAGGAGAATTGCTTGAACTGGGACCCAGCAGGTGGAGGTTACAGAGAGCTGAGATTGCACCATTGCACTCCAGCCTGGGCTACACAGCGAGACTCCGTCTCAAAAAAAAAAAAAAAAGAAAAAAAAAGAAAAAGAAAAAAAAAGATTTGAATAGACATTTCTCAAAAGAAGACATGCAAATGGCAACCAATCATATGAAAAAGTACTCAACATCACTGATCATCAGAGAAATGCAAGTCAAAACTACAATGAGATATTATCTCACTCCAATTAAAATGGCTTTTATCCAAAAGACAAGCAGCAACAAATGCTGGAGAGAATGTGTAGAAAAGGGAACACTTGTATACTGTTGGAATGTAAATTAGTACAACCATTACGGAGAACAATACCACTGCTGGATATAAAGACAAAAGAAAGGAAATCAGTATATTAAAGAGATATCTGCACTCCCATGTTTGTTGCAGCACTGTTCACAATAGCCAAAATTTGGAAGCAACCTAAGTGTCCATCAACAGATGAATGGATAAAGAAAATGTGGTACATATACACAATGGAGTACTATTCATCCATAAAAAGAATAAGATTCTGTCATTTGCAACAACATGGATAGAACTTATTTCACTTATTATGTTAAGTGAAATAAACCAGGCACAGAAAGACAAATGTTGCATGTTCTCACTTATTTGTGGGATCTAAAAATCAAAACAGGCTGAGCATGGTGGCTCACCTGTAATCCCAGCACTTTGGGAGGCTGAGGCAGGTGGATCACCTGAGGTTAGGAGTTCAAGACCAGCCTGGGCAACATGGCAAAACCCCTTCTCTACTAAAAATACAAAAATCAGCTGGGTGTGGTGGCAGGCACCTATAATCTCAGCTACTTGGGAGGCTGAGGCAGGAGAATGGCTTGAACCTGGGAGGCAGAGGTTGCAGTAAGCCGATATCGTGCCATTGCACAGCAGCCTGGGTGACAGAGCAAGACTCCGTCTCAAACAAACAAACAAACAAATAATTGAACTTATGGAGATAGAGAATAGAAGGATGGTTACCAGAGGCTGAGAAGGGTAGTGGAGGGGTAGTGGTGGGGAGGTGGGAATTGTTAATGGGTACCAAAAAAAATAGAATGAATAAGGGTGGGCACAGTGGCAAATGCATGTAATCCCAGCACTTTTGGAGGCTGAGGCGGGAGGATAATTTGAGCCAGGAGTTCAAGACCAGCATGGTTAACATAGCGAGAGCCCATCTCTACAAAAAATAAAAGAAAAATTAGCTAAGCATGGTGGTATATGCCTGTAGTCCCAGCTACTAAGGAGGCTGAAGCAGGAGGATCCCTTCAGCCTGGGAAGTTGAGGCTGCAGTGAGCCATGATTGCATCACTGCACTCCAGCTTAGGTGACAGAGCAGTATCCTGTCTCAAAAAAAAAAAAAAAAAAAAGAATAAGGCACAGTATTTAATAGCACAACAGGGAGACTAAAGTCAATAATCAGTTAATTGTACATTTAAAAATAATTAAGAGTGTAATTGGATTCTTTGTAACACAGAGGATAAATGCTTGAGGGGATGAATACACAATTTTCCATGATGTGATTATTCTGCACTGCATGTGATATGGTTTGGATCTGTGTCCTCACCCAAATCTCATGTTGGATTGTAATCCCCAGTGTTGGGGATGGGGCCTGGTGGGAGGTGATTGGATCATGGGGGTGGAGTGCTCATGAATGGTTTAGTACTATACCCCTTGGTATAGTGAATGACTTCTCAAAAGAGCTGGTTGTTTACAAGTGTGTGGGACCTCATTCTCTATTTCTTCTGCTTCGGCTGTGTGAAATGAGCCTGCTTCCCTTTCCCCTTCTGCCATGAGTGTAAGTTTCCTGAGGCCTCCCCAGCAGCTGCTGTGCTTCCTGTACAGCCTGCAGAACAGTGAGCCAGTTAAATTTCTTTTCTTCATAAATTACCCAGTCTCAGATATTTCTTTATAGCAATGCAAGAATGGACTAATACTAATCATAGTATCATAATTGTGTTATGGAATATGTATTATGATCTAAAAATAAAAACATGTATTATGGAATACAGTATCATAATACAAATATCTCATGTATTTCATAATATATATTATGTACCCACAAACACTAAAAATTAAATTTTTTAAAAAATTAAAAATAAATATATAAAGTTAAAATTCCTAACTACAATAACATATATTTGGGAAGGGATAAATTGAGTTAAAATATTCTAAGGGCCTTGATTTTTCCATAAAGAAGATAAAAGTTTTTATTAATTTAAGGCTTTGATAAGCTGTGTGCATATTGCATTTTAAAAGGTATCTGCTAAAAACAGGGTTGGCAAACTTTTTCTGTAGAGATAGATAGTAAATATTTTAGTCTTTGCAGGCCCTGTGGTCTCAGTCATTACTGTTCAACTCTGCTGTTGCAAGCTTGAAAACAGCCGTAGACAATATGTAAAATGAGTGTGGCTGTGTTCCAATAAATCTTCATTTGCAAAAACAGGCAGCATGCTGGATTTGGCCCACAGGCCATAGTTTGCCAAGCCTTGCACTAAAAGAATAAAAACAGTATAATTTCTAATTAGTAAAGGGGGAAAATGAAGTAATTAAAAATAGTCATCTAATTGAAAGGCAAGAAAAGAGAGAAAAAGACTGCGCCAGGTGGCTCACATGTAATCCCAGCACTTTGGGAGGCTGAGGCAGGTGGATCACCTGAGGTCAGGAGTTTGAAACCAGCCTGGCCAAGATGGCGAAATACTGTCTCTACTAAAAATATAAAAATTAGCTGGGCGTGGTAGCATACATCTGTAGACCCAGCTACTTTGGAGGCTGAGAAAGGAGAATCGCTTGAACCTGGGAGGCGGAGGTTGCAGTGAGCCAAGATCACACCACTGCACTCCAAAGTGGGCAACAGAGTGAGACTCTGTCTCAAAAAAAAAAAAAAAAAAAAAAGGAGAGAAAAAGAAACTTAAAATATAGGACAAAACAGGAAGTACTAAGAGGACAGATCATGGCCCAAATACTTTGGTAATTACATTAAAGGTAAATGAAATACATGCCCCAATTAACACTTTTTTTGTTATAGATGTGTCTCTTGCAAACAGCATATATATGGATTTTGTTTATTTTGTAGCCAGTATTAAAGCAAAGGCATATAGAAAGGTTGATAGTAAAAGAATGGGAAAAGATATACTGTGAAATACCAACCAAAAGAAAATAGCTATGGCAATTGTCATGCCAGAACCCTATTGACTTCAGTAGGGATAGCATCATGTTGCAGAGGCTAGAGAAGAGACCTGGAGCTAGCAAAGAAGACATTGGGCTTATTGAGGGAAATTACATACAGGGCAGTCCACTGGTGGTGGGCTAAACAGGAGAACCAAACTGCTTATAAAAAGCATGCAGTTTATATAGTATTTTCACTTAGCACCCTCCTCCTAGCAACCTCCTCCTGGCAACTTTCATTTAACTCAAAACAAAAGGCTTCAGTCCCCTGTATGTCCTGCATGTCACAGGCCATGCCGGGGGTTCAGATGTTCATTATACATAAGGAATAAATAAATCTCCAGATTGGCCACTTCTGGATTCCTTAGCTTGGAAATCCAAACACACATTCTTCTTAGAACACAGGGTCATTCTCAGGCTATGCTTAAGTTAAGTTGATACTGTCAGATGTATCTGCCATACAGGGTCATTCTTAGGGGTATGCTTAAGTTATGCTATCAGGTCCATCTACCGTACAGCAATATTAATATCAGACAAAATAACTTAAGGCCAAAAGTATTACTAGAAATGAACAGGGACTTCATAGTGTTAAAATATTTAATTTACCAGGAATGTATTGTGATTTTAAAGAATGATTAAAAATATATAAAGCAAAAATCTACAGCTCTCAAAGGAGATATAAACAAATACACAACTGTATTAATAGGTGATTCTACATGCCTGTCTTAGTAATTGATGGATAATCAGACAAAAGCTTAGGAGTATAGATTTGAACATAAAGACTAGCAAAATTGACCAAACGGACATATAGAGACTGTTTTTATCACTTGTGGAATACATCTCATTTTAAAACACACATAGAATTTTTATAATTGACCATAGACTGGGATAAAATCTCAAACATTTCAACGGATTGAAATGATTTGAAGTATGTATTCTGATTACAATGTGACTTGGTTAGATAACTTTTCTAGTTATCTAACCATATATGTAGAATCCCCATATATGTAGAAATTTAAACATGAATTTCTAAATAATCCATGGATCAAAGAAATCAATATGGGAACTAGAAAATAGTTGGAACTAAATGATAACAAAAATTCTACATATCACAACTGGTGACATGCAGCTGAAGTAGTACTTGGGAGGAAACATACCCGATTTGCATATATTAGGGGGAAAGAGCTGAAAATGAATGATTTAGGCATTCATCTCAAGAAGAAAGTTAGAAAAATAGCATCAAAATACATCCAAAGAAAGTAGAAACGAGGAAATAAGGCAAAGGCAGAAATTATTGAAATAGAAAACAAACATACAAAGTTAGTTCTTTGAAAGGATTGACAAAATTGAACAATCTCTAGCAAGATAGGCCAAAGAAAAGGGGAAAAAACCCACAAATAACCAACACCATGAAAACAAAGGAGACATGACGACATTTGAATAACTTTGTCAATACATTTGAAAATGTAGATTAAATGGAAAAATTACTAGAAAATATACCTTCCAAAGCTGACTCAAAAAAAACCTCTCATGGCTGGCTACAATGGCTCGTGCCTGTAATATCAGCTACTCAGGAGGCTGAGACAAGAGAATTGCCAGAGGCCAGGCGTTCAAGACCAGCTGGGGCAACATAGTGAGACCCTCATTTTTAATTTTAAAGTAATTAATTTTTATTCCCCCCCATTCTCAATAGTATAATAATCTTCAAAAAAATGGAATATGTAGTCAAAAATCCTCACTCAAAAAGAACTCCAGGTTTGTATGGTTTTGCTGATGAGTTCTACCAAAAATTGAAGGATCAAAGGGTTCCAATCTTACACAAACTCTTTCAGAGCATTTAAAAAAAGAGGAAACATTCTCTAACTCTTGAATCCAGCATAACTTTGACACTAAAAACCTGACGAGGACAGAAAAAGAGAGAAAAATTTCAGGCTGGCCTTGATCATGAAAATAGATGGCTGGGCGTGGTGGCTCACGCTTGTAATCCCAGCACTTTGGGATGCCAAGGCGGGTGGATCGCTAGAGTCCAGGAGTTCAAGACCAGCCTGGGTAACATGGCAAAATTCCATCTCTACAAAAAATACAAAAATTAGCCAGGCATGGTGGCACATGCCTGTGGTCCTAGCTACTTGAGAGGCTGAGGTGGGAGGATCGCTTGAGCCCGGGAGGTGGAGGTTCCAGTGAGCCGTGATCATGCCACTGCACTCCAGCCTGGGGGACAGAACAAGACCCTGTCTCAAAAAAAAAAAGATGCAAATATTCTAAACAAAATATTAGCAATTGGAATGCAATAATTTATTTAAAGTCTAAATGGCCAATTAACTTATGAAAGTGTGTTTTAACTTTAGTAATCAGAGAAATTCAAGTTAAAACCACAATGAAATACCACTATCACACACACCACATTGGCTTAAATTAAACAGCTTGACAATACCATGTGTTGAGATGAAAATAGAGCAAGAAGAACTACCATTCACCACTGGTAGAAGTAGAAATTGACATATCCACTTTGGAAAGCAGCTTGGCACTGTCCACTAAAGTTTGTTACACATACGCTATAACTTAGCAATTCCATTCCTAGGTAGACACTGTACAGCAGGTATTCTCAAAGTATGGTCCCTGCATCAACAGCATCAGCATCACCTGGGAACTTTGAAATGCCAAATCTTTGGGCTCCACTCCAAACCTACTCAACCAGCAACTATAGGTGTAGGGCCCGGCAATCTGGTTTATAATAAACCCTCCACATGACTGTAATGCATTTTAAAGTTTGAGAACTACTGCCATAGAGAATTAGGAACTTGTGTTTACCAAGATGCATGGACAAGGATGTTTTTGACAGCATTGTTTATAATAAGCAAACACTGAAAAGAAGCCCAATATCCATCAATACCATAATGGATAAATATGTTATAGAATAGTTATATAATACAATGAAATATTAAAAAATGATGAATTACAGCTATACAAAATATGATGGCTATCTCAAACATAATGGTGAGTAAATATTTAAGACACAAAGAATACATTTTTATATCCATATAGAGAAAGGTTCTTGTCAAACTATATATATAATATATAAATATGTTTTATATATTATATACATAATGTTTTAAGAACCCAAAACTATGTCTTCAGTTCTAATCTTTTTTTAGAACTCCAGGCTGGCATATAACTAGTACTTGCCACTTAATGTGTGTTCAGCTCATATTACATATCCATATCTTATTCTTTATCGTTATAATCTGTATAGTGACCACAGAGTATTCATAATATGGGTATAGCACATTTATTTAACTACTTTCTTCTTGATGGGCTTTTCTAGAACATTGCTTAGGCTGCCCCTGTAGGCTGAAAATTCTATGAGGTAGATACCTCATCTGTCCTCTAAGACATTACCTGCTGTTCAATAGTTCATCGAGTTGCTTTTCCAGATTAACTTTCCTATAAGAAAAAAGAATGCCTTGGCCAGTTTTATTAATCTTTGTTATAGAATGAATTGATTCCTTGTACATTTTTTGTTTATAGTGAATTAGCCCTAGAGAATCCAGTCAAGTCTGGATGACATGATGGAATAAATGTTCTAGACTTGGAAAATGAGACTGTAGATTCTGGGGTAGAGTGATCCTCTAAGGTAATTTAATTTCCCTCTCTGACATCTCTTTTCCATCTCAATGCAATAGCAGCTAGAAAATGTGTCAAGCCTTAGACTTAGGAAACCGTTTATCTCAAATTTTCTGAGAGTACCTACTTAAAATATCCTAGCTTTCTTAAATTTACTTGACCTTGGCCGGGTGCGGTGGCTCACGCCTGTAATCCCAGCACTTTGGGAGGCTGAGGCGGGTGGATCACGAGGTCAAGAGATCGAGACTAGCCTGGCAAACATGGTGAAACCCCGTCTCTACTAAAAATACAAAAATTAGCTGGGTGTGGTGTCGCGTGCCTGTAATCCCAGCAACTTGGGAGGCTGAGGCAGAGAATTGCTTGAACCTGTGAGGCGGAGGTTGCAGTGAGCTGAGATTGTGCCACTGCACTCCAGCCTGGAGACAGAGTGAGATTCCATCTCAAAAAAATAAAAATTACTTGACTTTGTATTCTAGTTTGTGGTTTGGGGCATTTAACACCATATCTGGACTTCCAGGGAGTGACTGGCTCCAGAGAAAATGCTTGTAGGGCAGAACAGGCCACTTGGGAGGCCTGCTTCTTTAAAACCTTGCCTACATACTCCCTACTTAATGACAAGCTGTCTAGCCCAGTCCTAGAAGAGTCATAAAGGAGTTCTTCCCTGAGCTTTGGCTGTCAGAGTGGAGCCTGTGGACAGCTGCAGGAAGGGGCAGCAGATTGTACTTTGGGTATGGCTCAGAGAAGAGAGCTAAGTAGCATGCACATTGGCTGGATGCTGTCAGATTTACCTTGGGATGCCCATTGTGATGTCATATGAAGTCACAGCCTTGAGGCAGAAAACTCTGGCTGAGAAGAGCATGGGGTTGAGAAATGGCACCAATTTGGGGGATGGACGTCCCACTGCCATCAGATATCAGCCTTCTATTATTGTTTGTTTTTTTTATTTGGCGGCTTTGGACACTGTTTTCCAGGAATCGGAGCTGGAAGCAGGTGGCAGCCAAGATAAACTCAGAGGTATGTGATGTAGCCCTCCCTTGAAACTAACTGGTCCCGCTCCTGAGGCCATAGAAACTGCCATACTTTGGGCCATGGGAGGAACTGGATGCAGGGAGAGGGGAGTTGAGACAGTGCCCATGGATAGTCTTCCTATAGATCACTATAAATCCTTTTTCCTTCAATTCATTTCAACAGACCTAGAGACTATCGCCATTCTCTAGGAGCTCGAGGTGAAGTGGGGGAGATGGATATACACATAACTGGAAAGAGAATGTGATTAAGAGTTAATAGAGGTATAAATGTTGCTGACATGGGAGGTAGACAGTATTTTGAACTAGGGGGCTCTATAAAATACCACCTGGGAGAGCTCAGGTTTGAGTGTGCTTCAGAGGAAGAGTGGGATTTTGAAGGTGGTTGGAGTGAATAGAGGAAGGCAGTGGAAACCTTTTAAAAAAGAGGGAATACATTGGAAAAAAGATGTGGGAAAGGGAAGCGTATTGGATGTGTTTGAGGAGAGATGTCACCAATCTGGATGGAGCATAGGACTGTAGGGACTCAGAGAGAGAAAAGATTGACAAGTTAACAGAGGTCACACTGTAGAGCTTTGAACGCCAGGCTGAATACTTGGTATAAATACAACTCTGTGCAGTTTGAAAGACATCAAAGATTTTAAAGCCAGATAAAAATGTGCTTAGATCTGTGCTTTGAGGAGCACTTCTTAAACTTTAACATGCATATGAATCACCTGGGGGATCTTGTTAAAAAGCAGATTCTGATGTAGTAAGTCTGGGGTAGGGACTGAGTTTCTACAATTCTAGCAAGCTCCCAGATGCTGCTGCTGCCCTTGGAATGAGGGCCACACAGTAAGAATGAGGTTTTGAATACCTCCAGTAAGCTTATATGGTAGTTCTCTGGCATAGCTAGGCCATTTTCATGGTTTAGTGGGAAGAAGCGAGGAAACAAAAATATCAGAGTGGCACGGTGAAAAAGAGAACGTAGCCGGGCGTGGTGGCTCTCGCCTGTAATCCCAGCACTTTGGGAGGCAGAGGTGGGCAGATCACTTGAGGTCAGGAGTTCGAGACCAGCCTGGCCAACATGGTGGAACCCCGTCTCTACTAAAAATACTAAATTAGCCAGGCGTGGTGGCGTGCACCTGTAGTCTTAGCTACCGGGGAGGCTGAAGCAGGGGAAACACTTGAACCTGGGAGGCAGAGGTTGCAGTGAGCTGAGACCACGCCATTGCACTCCAGCCTGGGTGACAGAGCGAGACTCTGTCTCAAAAAAAAAAAGGAAAAGAGAACATAAATTAATTCCCCAAGTATTTATCACCTGCTCCTACCCCCATTTCCACTCCTCTGTGCACTATTGATACAGCAGTAAGTGGAAGAGAAAAAAATATCTGCTATCAGGGATGTGAAAGTGGAGGAGGTATTGGGGTGAATGTTTGGATGTGGAAGGTGTTGCAAGACTCCCTTGCAAAGGAGGGAGAAGGGACTGAGTCTATTTTTCCTGATGCAAAGAGTTAATTATAAACATTATCATCATTTTCTTTTTTTTTTTTTTTTTTTTTTTTTAATTGATCATTCTTGGGTGTTTCTCGCAGAGGGGGATTTGGCAGGGTCATAGGACAATAGTGGAGGGAAGGTCAGTAGATAAACAAGTGAACAAAGGTCTCTGGTTTTCCTAGCCAGAGGACCCTGCGGCCTTCCGGCCTTCCGCAGTGTTTGTGTCCCTGGGTACTTAAGATTAGGGAGTGGTGATGACTCTTAACGAGCATGCTGCCTTCAAGCATCTGTTTAACAAAGCACATCTTGCACCGCCCTTAATCCATTTAACCCTGAGTGGACACAGCACATGTTTCAGAGAGCACAGGGTTGGGGATAAGGTCACAGATCAACAGGATCCCAAGGCAGAAGAATTTTTCTTAGTACAGAACAAAATGAAAAGTCTCCCATGTCTACTTCTATCCACACAGACCCGGCAACCATCCGATTTCTCAATTTTTTCCCCACTCTTCCCGCCTTTCTATTCCACAAAACCGCCATTGTCATCATGGCCCATCCCCAATGAGCCGCTGGGCACACCTCCCAGACGGGGCCGTGGCCGGGCAGAGGGGCTCCTCACTTCCCAGTAGGGGCGGCCGGGCAGAAGCGCCCCTCACCTCCCGGATGGGGCGGCTGGCCGGGCGGGGGGCTGACCCCCCCCGCCCCCGGACGGGGCGGCTGGCCAGGCAGAGGGGTCCTCACTTCCCAGTAGGGGCGGCCGGGCAGAGGCGCCCCTCACCTCCCGGACCGGGCGGCTGGCCAGGCGTGGGGCTGATCCCCCCCACCTCCCTCCCGGATGGGGCGGCTGGCCGGGCGGGGGGCTGACCCCCCCACCTCCCTCCCGGACGGGGCGGCTGGCCAGGCGGGGGGCTGATCCCCCCACCTCCCTCCCGGACTGGGCGGCTGGCCGGGCGGGGGGCTGACCCCCCCACCTCCCTCCCGGACGGGGCGGCTGGCCGGGCAGAGGGGTCCTCACTTCCCAGTAGGGGCGGCCGGGCAGAGGCGCCCCTCACCTCCCGGACGGGGCGGCCGGCCGGGCGGGGGGCTGACCCCCCCACCTCCCTCCCGGACGGGGCGGCTGGCCGGGCAGAGGGGCTCCTCACTTCCCAGTAGGGGCGGCCGGGCAGAGGCGCCCCTCACCTCCCGGACGGGGCGGCTGGCCGGGCGGGGGGCTGACCCCCACCACCTCCCTCCCGGACGGGGCGGCTGGCCGGGCAGAGGGGCTCCTCACTTCCCAGTAGGGGCGGCCGGGCAGAGGCGCCCCTCACCTCCCGGACTGGGCGGCTGGCCGGGCGGGGGGCTGACCCCCCCACCTCCCTCCTGGACGGGGCGACTGGCCGGGCAGAGGGGCTCCTCACTTCCCAGTAGGGGCGGCCGGGCAGAGGAGCCCCTCACCTCCCGGACGGGGCGGCTGGCCGGGCGGGGGGCTGACCCCCCCCCCACCTCCCTCCCGGTCGGGGTGGCTGCCGGGCGGAGACGCTCCTCACTTCCCAGACGGGGTGGCTGCCGGACGGAGGGGCTCCTCACTTCTCAGATGGGGCGGTTGCCAGGCAGAGGGTTTCCTCACTTCTCAGACGGGGCGGCCGGGCAGAGACGCTCCTCACCTCCCAGACAGGGTTGCGGCCCAGCAGAGGCGCTCCTCACATCCCAGACAGGGCGGCGGGGCAGAGGTGCTCCCCACATCTCAGACGATGGGCGGCCGGGCAGAGACGCTCCTCACTTCCTAGATGGGATGGCGGCGGGGAAGAGGCGCTCCTCGCTTCCTAGATGGGATGGCGGCCGGGCAGAGACGCTCCTCACTTTCCAGACTGGGCAGCCAGGCAGAGAGGCTCCTCATATCCCAGACGATGGGGGGCCAGGCAGAGACGCTCCTCACTTCCCAGACGGGGTGGCGGCTGGGCAGAGGCTGCAATCTCGGCACTTTGGGGGGCCAAGGCAGGCGGCTGGGAGGTGGAGGTTGTAGCGAGCCAAGATCACGCCACTGCACTCCAGCCTGGGCACCATTGAGCACTGAGTGAAGGAGACTCCGTCTGCAATCCCGGCACCTCGGGAGGCCGAGGCTGGCGGATCACTCGCGGCTAGGAGCTGGAGACCAGCCCGGCCAACACAGCAAAACCCCGTCTCCACCAAAAAAAACATGAAAACCAGTCAGGCGTGGCGTGGCGGCGAGCGCCTGCAATCGCAGGCACTCGGCAGGCTGATGCAGGAGAATCAGGCAGGGAGGCTGCAGTGAGCCGAGATGGCAGCAGTACCGTCCAGCTTTGGCTCGGCATCAGAGGGAGACCGTGGAAGGAGACCGTGGGAAGGGGGAGAGAGAGAGGGGAGAGGGGAGAGGGAGAGGGAGAGACACCAACTCATCATTTTCTATGAGGACTACATTCATCATGGTATTTCCAGTGCCTAGTATACTGGCTGGCATATAGTAAGTGCTCCGTAGTTGTTTGTGAAATGAACGAACGACTTCTCAGTTTTAACCCTGAATGACTCACAAGATGATGGTGTTTTTTAAACGACATAGGCAACATTACACATGAAAAGTTGTGAATGTGGTGGGAGGCAGAATATGAACCATTGTGTTGGAAGTGCTTGTAAAATTTCTGTGGAGATATTCATCAAGCAGCTCAAATTAATGGCTGAGACCTGTGATGTTCAATATGGTATCTGCTAATCATATGTGACCATTTAAATTTTTTATTTTTGAGACAGGTTCTCCCTCTGTCACCCAGGCTGGAGTGCAACACATGGCTCACTGCAACCTCAACCTCCTGAGCTCGAGTGATTCTCCTACCACAGCCTCCCAATTAGCTGAGACTACAGGCCCATGCCACCATGCCTAGCTAATTTTTTAATTTTTTTTGGTAGAGAGAGGGTATCGCCATGGTGCCCAGCTGGTCTCAAACTCCTGGGCTCAAGCAATCCACACACCTCAGCCTTCCAAAGTGCTGGGACTACAGGCATGAGCCACCACACCCGACCTTAAGTTAATTAAAATTAAATAAAATTTAAAATTCTGTTTCTGGCTGGGCGCGGTGGCTCATGCCTGTAATCCTGGCACTTTGGGAGGCCAAGGCAGGTGGATCACTTGAGGTCAGGAGTTCGAGACCAGCCTGGCAAACATGCTGAAACCCCATCTCTACTAAAAATACAAAAATTAGCTGGGCGTGGTGGTGGGTGTCTGTAGTCCCAGCTACTCAGGAGGCTGAGGCAGGAGAATCGCTTGAACCTGGGAGGCGGAAGTTGCAGTGAGCCGAGATCATACCACTGTACTCCAGCCTGGGTGACAGAGTGAGACTGTCTCAAAAAAATAAAAATAAAAATAAATAAAATTTAGTTCCTCTATTGAAGTAGCTACGTTTCAAGTGCTCACATGTAACTAGAGGCTCTCATATTGGATAGGACAGATATAGAATATTTGATATATTTGACAGATATAGAATATTTGATATAGATGATATTCCATCATCATAGAAAATTCTATAGGATAGCGCCAGCCTAGACCTAGATCTTGAAGACAGATATGGCTATAGTTATATGGGGGTCACAAGGTCCTTTCCATTTTTTTCTCAGAAACATCTCTCAAATTCAGCAATCTAGATCTAGATTGTCTTAACTAAAACTTCATCTCTTGAACTATTTACAGTCTTATATAACTGGGGTCTCCTACTTTTCCAGCCTGGAGCACAGACCTTGCCTCCACAAAACAAAAAGACAACATACAGTCTGGGAGTGGTGGCTCATGCCTGTAATCCCAGAACTTTGGGAGGCTGAGGCAGGCGGATCACCTGAGGTCAGGAGTTCGAGACCACCCTGTCTCTACTGAAAATACAAAAATTAGCTGGGTATGGTGGCGTGCACCTGTAGTCCCAGCTACTAGGGAGTCCCAGCTACTCCAGAGGCTCCCAGGCTCAGTGGCTTGAACCTGGGAGGCGGAGGTTGCAGTGAGCCAAGATCGTCCCACTGCACTGCACTCCAGCGTGGATGACAGAGCAAGATGCTGTCTGAAAACAAACAAACATAACACACACAAACCCCCCAAAGCTAATTGTGTCACTCTGCTAAAAGTAACTAAGCACACAAAATTTCTGTGTACTCTATTGCCTGCAGCAGCATTTCCAAACCTTTTTTGACTCTCAAACTTCTTTCATCCTCATAATTTTGTCAACCTCCTTAGGAACTTAAAAAGCATTTTGTCCGTTTTTCATAAGTTATTTTAGATAAATTTTATTTTAAAACAATATCTTTTTATAATTGCAAAGTTATTTTAACATCATGTTTAAGAGTAAAAGACAAATGTCTACTTTTTCTTCTGTAACAAGTGATGCATGACATTTAATTGATTTTATATTAGGTGTGAGAATTTTCACATCAATTGGGTATGAGAAATGGCAAGGGCTTTTTTTTTGTCTATATCAAATATAATCTGGCTTAAGCCTCCCTTTAACTAGGTTGGCAAAAAAAAAAAAAATAGTCCAGTATCATTTTTCCTCCCCAACCTTTGTGTTGTATAAGAACTCCACAGTTTCTGCAGTTTATCCAGAGTAGAAGTGAGTCAGGCCCTTAAGCCACAGGGATAGCTCTTGCTTTTCTTCTTAGCCATCTGAAGGCAAAAAGTGTGTCTCAACCCCTCTCTACCAGTCTCAGGGGTCTTTGCTAAGGTCCCTAAGCTGCTGCACCTGGGCTCTTAACACCAGAAGGGCTCCGGGACCCCCTACCCAAGGTTCTCCTACCCAGTGCACCTGCAGCTTCAGCATTGTTTCCATTTCAAGGAGCCAGCTTCCCTCCTGTCTCAACCCTCTGGCACGTTTCAGCTTAAAATTTTCGCAGATCTAGACTTATTGACGGTTGTTTTTTAGGTTCCTGACAATTTTTTTCAGTCCTGAAAAACTAAGTCCCTGCTGTGCATTAGGAGTTCCAAGACCCTAAGAACAAAGGCCTGGCTACCTTCTTTGGTATGGGAATACATGAATCTACTTCCTTTCTCAGAAAGATGCCGCAATAAAAATACAGTGTAAATTACTCAGGAAGTCACTCTGCTTCATAAATCAACAAATACAATTTCTTTCTACATATTTATGTAATAAAAAGCTTTTTTGTTAACAAATACATTTTTATTAAGGTATAATTGAATACCATAAAATGCACATATATTAATTGTATAGGGTGATGAGTTTTGATAAATTTATATACCCATGTAACTAAAACCCTAATAAAGATATGGCATAGCCATAACCCTGAATAGTTCCCTCATGTTATTTTCTAGTCTCTGCCCTCCTCTCTGCTCAGACACAACCTCTATTCTGATTTCTATTGTCATGGACTAGTTTTGCCTGTTCTTGAACCTTGCAAAAAGTAGAATCATACAGCATATATTCTTGTGTGTCTGACTTCTTTTGCTAAGCATAATGTGTTTGAGATTCATCTTGTTGACAACAATTTTTTTTTTTTTTTTTTTTTCTGAGACGGAGTCTTGCTCTGTCACCCAGGCTGGAGTACAGTGGCGCAATCTTGGCTCGCTGCAGCCTCTGCCTCCCAGATTCAAGCGATTCTCTTGGCTCAGCCTACCAAGTAGCTGGGATTACAGATGCATGCCACCATGCCTGGCTAACTTTTGTATTTTTAGTAGGGACGAGGTTTCACCATGTTGGCCAGGCTGGTTGGTCAGGCTGGTCTTGAACTCCTGACCTCAGGTGATCCGCCCACCTCAGCCTCCCAAAGCAGTGGGATTATAGGCCTAAGCCACTTCATCCGGCCGACAACAACAAATTTTAAAGTGACATTATACCATATCATGCTTGTTAATTTGGGGACCCAGCGTATATTGAAATGTAGAATGAAATTTAACTACCTATTGTGGCATTAAAAATAGCCAAAAAAAGGCTCTGTGATCTTATATTTGGAATTCTTGCACATTGCATTTCAAAAAGTCAAATTTTTTTTTTTTTTTGAGACAGAATCTTACTCTGTTGCACAGGCTGGAGTGCAATAGCTCAATCTCGGCTCACTGCAACCTCCATCTCCCAGGTTCAAGTGATTCTCCTGTCTCAGCCTCCCAAGTAGCTGGGACTACAGGCATGCACCACCATGCCCAGTTAATTTTTGTAGTTTTAGGAGAGATGGAGTTTTGCCATGTTGGCCAGACAGGTTTCGAACTCCTGACCTCAGGTGATCTGCCCGCCTTGGCCTCCCAAAGTGCTGGGATTACAGGTGTGAGCCACCACACCTGGCCTGTTTATTTTTTGTGGTTAAAAAAGTTATATCTATATGATAAAGAAGAAGGTTTCAGGATTTTAATTACACATAATGCATTGTTGGTGGGTTTCTTATCTCCAATAGGAGAGGAATTGCTTGGTCATGTGGTATATATGTTTAATTTTAGTAGATGACACCAGTTTTCTAAAGTGATTATACCAAGAATAGCGTCTGAGAATTCTAGTTGCTCCACCTTCTTGCCAACACTTGGCATTGTCCATCTTTTCCTTTTTCTTTTTTTTTTTTTTGAGACGGAGTCTTGCTCTGTCTCCCAGCCTGAAATGCAGTGATGCTATCTTGGTTCACGCAACCTCTGCCTCCTGAGATCAAGTGATTCTCCTGCCTCAGCCTCCTAAGTAGCTGGGACCACAGGTGTGCGCCACCATGCCTGGCTGCTTTTTTAGGTGGGGTTTCACCATGTTGGCCAGGCTGGTCTTGAACTCCTGACATTGGGTGATCTGCCCCCCTCGGTCTCCCAAAGTGCTGAGATTACAGGTGTGAGCCATTGCACCCAGTTCATCTTTTTCATTTTAGTCACTCTGGTGAGTCTGTGTGGTATTGCATTGTGGTTTTAATGTGCATTTCCCTAATGACTTATGATAATGTGCAACTTCTCATGTTTATTGGCCATTTGGAAATTCTCTTTTGTGAACTGGCTGTTCAAGTCTTTTGCATATTTTTAATAATTGGGTTTCTTTTACTTAACTGATTTGTAGGAATTCTTTGAATACTATGGACATGAGTCCTTTGCCAGATAAAGGTATTTAAAATAAATTCTACCACTCTGTGACTCACTTTTTCATTTACAATTGTGTCTTAATGACCAAAAGTTCTAAATTTTAATGAAATCCAATTTATGAAGTTATGTTCTTAAGATTAGTGTTCCCCTCCCTACCCCTATCCCCAGTGCAAGAAACCTTTGCTAACCACTAGGCCATGAAGATACCCTTCTATATTTCTTCTAGAACCCTTATTTTTTTTCTTTCACATTTAGCTCTATGATCCATCTCAAATTACTTTTTGTGTATGGTGTGAGGTAGGGGTCAACACTCCCCTCCTCCCCATATAGATATCTAATTCTTCCAGTAGGGCAGGAACTAGGATAAAAATGAGTGAGGTACTCACCTTGAACACAAAATGTAAGGAACACCAAAAAACTTAATAATCGAGATATTTAATGAAACGTTCTTATTCTTTTTCTTATTGAGACAAGATTTTATTCTGTTGCCCAGGCTGAAGTGCAGTGGTGTGATTACAGCTCACTGCAGCCTCAACCTCTTGGGCTCAAGTGATACTTCCACCTCAACCTCCCAAGTAGCTGGGACCAGTGACATGCTTCACCACACCTGGCTAATTTTTGTGTTTTTTGTGGAGATGAGGTTTTGCCATGTTGCCCAGTCTGGTCTCGAACTCCTCAGTTCAAGTAATTTGCCTGCCTTGGCCTCCCAAAGTGTAGGATTACAGGCATAAGCCACCATGCCTGGCCTAATGCAATATTATTTAAAAATAAAAATTAATGCAAAAAAATCCATGATGAACAAAATATCAGAATTTAAAATCTGACCCTACACTTTCACGACTCTTTCTCACCACTTCACTGTAATCCCTGTCCTTTCCTCCAGCACCATTTATTGAAAAGACCATCCTATTCTCATTGAATTTTATTGGTGACCTTGTCATAAATCAGGTAAATGTATACATGTGGGTCTATTTCGGGACTCTCTGTTTTGTTACATTGGTCTGCCTATCCTCACACTGATATCTTGCTATTTTCAATAATGTAGCTTTGTAGTGACTTAAAATTTGGTAATGTAAGTCT
Organism: Homo sapiens; assembly: GCF_000001405.40. NCBI lineage: Eukaryota > Metazoa > Chordata > Mammalia > Primates > Hominidae > Homo > Homo sapiens. The sequence continues at coordinate 27,547,165 of NC_000002.12, forward strand.
TCCAACTTTGATCTTTTTTTTTTTTTTTTGAGACAGTCTCACTCTGTCACCCAGGCTAGAGGGCAGTGAGGTGATCTCAGCTCACTGCAACTTCCGCCTTCCAGGTTCAAGTGATTCTCCTGCCTCAGCCTCCCGAGTAGCTGGGATTACAGGTGCACACCACCATGCCCAGCTAATTTTTGTATTTTTTAGTAGAGATAAGGTTTAACCATGTTGGCCAGGCTAGTCTTGAACTCTTGACCTCAGATGATCTGCTCACCTTGGCCTCCCAAGGTGCTGGGATTACAGGTGTGAGCCACCAGGCCTGGTCCCAACTTTGACCTTTGAAGTTGTCTTAACTATTCTAGGTCATTGACATTTCCATATAAATCTGTGAATCATCCTGTTAATTGTCACACAAAACATGCAGGGTTTTAGATTGAGAATGTATTGGATTTATAGTTTAATTGGAGATAACTGACATCCCCAAAATAATAAGCCTTCTGATCTATGAGTGTGTTCATGTCTCGTTTATTTAGACTTTCTTAATTTATCTCAATAATAGTTTTCAATATAGAGGGGTTTTTTGAAGCTATAGTAATACTTTTTCATTTTTATTAAGAAAATTTTAAACAAATTGAAAATATATAGAAGTGTGTCATGAATCTTCATGGATCCATCACCCAGCTTCAACTCTCTTACCTTATTATTTTGAAGTAAATCCCAGATAATATAATTTCATTTGTAAATATTTTAGTATATCTAAAACATAAGAACTCTTTAAAAATAGTTAAACACAATACCATTATCATGCCAAAAAATTTAATAGTAATTTCTTTTTTTTTTTTTTTTTTTTGAGATAGAGTCTTGCTCTGTCACCCAGGCTGGAGTGTAGTGGCACAGTCTCGGCTCACTGCAAGCTCCACCTCCTGGGTTCACGCCATTCTCCTGCCTCAGCCTCCCCAGTAGCTGGGACTACAGGCGCCTGCCACTGTGCCTGGCTAATTTTTTGTATTTTTAGTAGAGACGGGGTTTCACCGTGGTCTGGATCTCCTGACCTCGTGATCTGCCCACCTCGGCCTCCCAAAGTGCTGGGATTACAGGTGTGAGCCACCGCGCCCGGACTTAACAGTAGTTTCTTAATACCATCAAATACCCTTCAGCATTCAAACTCCAATTATCGCCTGGGTGCAGTGACTCAAGTCTGTAACCCCAGCACTTTGGGAGACTGAGGCAGGAGGATTGCTTGAGCTCAGGAGTTGGAGATCAGCCTGGGCAACATGGTGAAACCCTGACTCTACTAACAATATAAAAATTAGCTGGGTGTGGTGGTGTGCGCCTGTGGTCCCAGCTACTCAGGAGGCTGAGGTGGGAGGGTCACTTGAGCCTCGGGGGAAGAGGTTGCATTGAGCCAAGTTTACTCCACAGCACTCCAGCTTGGGTGACGGAGCCAGGCCCTGTTTCAAAAAAAAAAAAAAAATCCCAATTGTCTCCTAAGTGATATAAATTATTATTTATAGTCTGTTTGATTCAAGATCACAGATTGAAATGGATTTGTGAGTCTCTTAAGTGTCTTCTAATCTGTAAATTCTCCATCTTCATTTCTTTATTTTATTCTGTCCATTTATTTATGTGTTGAAGAAATGGGGCCTGGTGCAGTGGCTCAAGCATGTAATCCCAGCACTTTGGGAGGCCGAGGTGCTTGGATCACTTGAGGTCAGGAGTTCAAGACCAGCCTGGCCAACATGGTGAAACCCCATCTCTACTAAAAATACAAAAAATTTGCCAGGTGTGGTGGCACGCGCCTGTAATCCCAGCTACTGGGGAGGCTGAGGCAGGAGAATTGCTTGAACCCAGGAGGCGGAAGTTGCATGAGCTGAGATCACGCCACTGCACTCCAGCCTGAGCAACAGAGTGAGACTCCGTCTCAAAAAAAAAAAAAAAAAAAAAAAGAAATGGGTTATTTGTCCTTTAGATTTTGCAGTTAACATTTTGCTGATTAAATGTCCGTATTGTCATTTAACATGTTCCCTTATGTCCTGTATGTTTTGTAAATGGGGAAGTTGGATCTAAGACTTATCAGAATTCATATTTTTTGAGGAGGGGAAGAAGATATTTCATAGGTGATGATAATCATCAAGAGGCACATAATGTCTGGTTTGGTGTGGTATTTTAAATGTCATTTTCTTTTATTTATTTACTTTTTTTTTTAAGAGATAGGATCTCTTTGTGTTGTCCAGGCTGAAGTGCAGTGGCACAATCATAGTCACTGCAGCCTTGAACTTTTGGGCTCAAGTGATCCGACCACCTCAGCCTCCTGAGTAGTTAGGACTACAGGAATGTGTCACCATACCTGGCTAATTTTTAAAATTTCTTCTGTGGAGGCCAGGTGTGGTGGCTCACACCTGTAATCCCAGCACTTTGGGAGACTTAGTCAGGTGGGATCACCTGAGGTCAGGAGTTCAAGACCAGCCTGGCCAACATGGTGAAACCCCATCTCTACTAAAAATACAAAAAATTAGTCTGGCATGATGGCATGCCTGTAGTCTCAGCTACTTGGGAGGCTGAGGTAGGAGAATCACTTGAGCCTGGGAGGCGAAGGTTGCAGTGAGCTAAGATCACACCACTGCACTCCAACCTGGGTGACAGAGCAAGACTCCGCCTCAAAAAATAAAAATAAATAAAATTTCTTTTGTGGAGATGGGGTCTCACTATATTGCCCAGGCTGGTCTTCAATTCCTGGCCTCAAGCAATCCTCTCACCTTGGCCTCCCAAGGTGCTGGGATTACAGGCATGAGCAACCATACCCAGCCTTAAATGTCATTTTCTAAATGATCCTGATACTTGAAAACACAAAAGATTTTTATAAATTGACTTTCTACCTAGAGACTTTGCTAAATTTGCTTATCAATTCTAATTATTTATCTATAGATGTTTTGGATATTCTACACAACTATATTGTCTGCAAATGATAATTTTATTTCTTTCTTTCTGATTCTTATACCTTTTCTTTTTCTTGTATTATTCCATTGATTAGGACTTCCTCTACAATGTTCAATAGAGATGGTATAGTGGGGATTCTTTTTTTTTTAATGTAGAGGATAGTTTGCAATAATTCATCATTTATGTGTAATGTTTGCTATATAAACATTACACATCATTTATGTGTAATGTTTGATAGAGTGTATTTACAAAATACTCTATCAAATTAAGGAGGTTCCCTTTTATTTCCAGTCTGCAAATAGTTTTAGTATGAATGGGTGTTAAATTTTTTTTTTTTTTTTTTTTTTTTTGAGACAGAGTCTCACTCTATTGCCCGGGCTGGAGTGCAGTGGTGCAATCTCTGCTCACTGCAACCTCCGCCTCCTGGGTTCAAGCGATTCTTGTGCCTCAGTCTCCTGAGTAGCTGGGATTACAGGCAAGTGCCACCAGGCCTGGCTAATTTTTGTATTTTTAGTAGAGATGGGATTTCACCATTTTGGTTAGGCTGTGCTGAAACTCCTTTCCTCAGGTGATCTGCCTGCCTTGACATCCCAAAGTGCTGAGATTATAAGCATGAGTCACTGCGCCTGGCTGGGTGATAAATTTTATCAAGTGATTTTCATGTCTCTATGTGAGATGGTTATATGGTTTTCTTATTTATCCTATTAATGTGCTGAATTACACTGAGTTTTGAAAACAAAACAACTGTGAATTCTTGGAATAAATATAATATGTTCATGATGCTTTTGTTTATTTTCTTTTCTTTTTCTTCTTTTTTTTTTGAGATGGAGTCTCACTCTGTCACCCAGGTTGGAGTGCAGTGGTATGATCTCAGCTCACTGCAACCTCTGCCTGCTGGATTCAAGTGATTGTCCTGCCTCAGCCTTTCTACTAGCTGGGACTAAGGCACCTGCCACCATACTCGGCTAAGTTTTTGTATTTTTAGTAGAGACAGGGTTTCATCAAGTTGGACAGGCTGGTCTCGAACTCCTGACCTCAAGTGATCCACCTGCCTTGGCCTCCCAAAGTGCTGGGATTACAGGTGTGAGCCACTGTGCCTGGCGGATGCTTTTCATATATTATTGGATTAACTTTGCTGATATTTTGTTTAGGACTTTTGCATCTGTGTTCATGAAAGAGATTGGCTTATGATTTTTCTTTCTAATATTGTCCTTATTAGATTTTAGAATCAAGGTTATCCCTGCCTCCTAACATAGGAGAAGTAATTTCTCTTTTTCACCTCGTTATATGAGAGACACCCCTAACACAAAATTCTAAAGGCTTCTGATGTTTTATGCTAGGCACCTGGGACAAAACCAGATTATTCTTTATTATAACAAACACACATATATGAAAAAGAGACAGGGAGAGAGAGATTTTAAGAAATCGGCTCACAAAATTGTCAGGGCTTACAAATCAGAAATCCATAGGGCAGACCAGAAACTCAAGAGTTGATGTTGTAGTCTTGAGTCCAAAGTCAGCATAGGCCAGGCTAGAAACTCAGGCAAGGATTTTCCATTGCAGTCTTGAGGCAGAATACCTTCCTCTTCAGGAAACCTCAGTCTCTGCTCTCAAGGCCTTCAACTGATTGGGTGATGCCCACCCACATTATGGACATTAATCAGCTTTAAGGTGTACTAATTCTAAATGTTAAGCACATCTGAAAACTACTTTCACAGCAACAAGCAACATCTAGACTAGCTTTTTTTTTTGTTGTTGTTAGATGGAGTCTCCCTCTGGAGTGCAGAGGTGCCATCTCAGCTCACTGCAACCTCCGCCTCCTGGATTCAAGCAATTCTCCTTCCTCAGCCTCCCGAGTAGCTGGGACTACAGGCGTGCACCACCATGCCCAGCTAATTTTTGTATTTTTAGTAGAGACGAGGTTTCACCATGTTGGCCAGGATGGTTTTGATCTCTTGACGTCATGATCCACCCGCCTTGGCCTCCCAAAGTGCTGGGATTACAGGTGTGAGCCACCGTGCCCAGCCCTAGACTAGCTTTTGAACAAACAGCTGGGCACATAGCTTAGCCAAGTTGACATGAAATTAACCATCACAATCCTATGTTTTCTTCTGAGAGTTTTATAGTTTTACAGCTCTTACATTTAGGTCTTTGCATCATTTTGAATTAATTTTTTGAATTAGATGGTGTGAATTAAGAGTCCAACTTCATTCTTTTGCATGTGGCTATCTAGTTGTCCCAGCACCATTTGTTGAAGAGACTATTATTTTCCTATCTAATGGTCTTGTTACCCTTATAGAAAATCAATTGATTTGTAGATGTATGGATTTATTTCTAGACCCAATTTGATTTCATAGATCTATATGTTTATCCTTATGCCAGTACCACACTGTTTTGATTACTACAGCTTCGTAAGTTTTAAAATCAGGAAGTATGAGTCCTCCAACTTTGTTCTTTTTCAAGATTGTTTTGGCTATTTAGGGACCTTTGTAATTCCATATGAATTTTAGGACCAGCTTTTTCATTTCTGTAAAAAAGGCTATTGGGATTTTGATAGGGATTATACTGAATCTGTAGATTGCTTTGGGGAATATTGCCATTTTAATAATATTAAATATTCCAATCCATGAACAAGGGATGTCTTTCCATTTATTTAGGTCTTCTTTAGTTTTTCAACAATGCTTTGAACCTCTCAGTGTACAATCTTGCATGTCCTTGATTAAATTTATTCCTGAGTATTTTATTATTTTGGATGCTAAAAATGGAGTTGCTTTTATTAGCTCTAATAGGTTTCTTCTGGTTTCTTTCCGATATTCTGTATGTAAGATGTGTCATCTGTGAACACAGTTTTACTTGTTCCTTTCTAATTTGCATGGCTTTTCTTTTCCTTGCCTAATTGCTCTGGTTAGAACTTCTGTACAATTTTAAACAGATGAGGCATCACTGGGGCAATGTTCCTGACTTCTAGACCCACCGGAGTGAAGGACCTGCTCCAGTGGCTCTACTTGGCAGGAGTTGCAGCCCCAGGACTTTGCCAGGTGGCCCTGCCCACACAGCTTTGGGTAGAGGTTGTCTAACCTGTTGAAAGTGAGGCAATGGTCCCTCTTTTTGAAACTGAGGTGGCAGCCCCGATGATCTCTGAATCACCTTCCAGGTTATTCTTTCCTTGTCTTCCAGAATAGTGTATGTTTGTGGCTGAAGAGCTCTATGGTCCCAAATTGTAAAATTCAAGAAGACCAACAGCCTTCTCTCATTCCCTCCCATCTCCTGCTCCTTCAGTTCAACCTGGCAGTTTTCCTGCTGTGGTGGCTGATTAAGTCCATGTTTCACACATATACTGATCTCCTTATCAAAGGGTCACTTGGTCACACCTTTAGTGTTCTCTTTGAATACACTTTCTCATTTTTTGCAAAAGGGATAGGCTGAAAACTTTTCATATCCTTAAATTCTAATTCCTTATAATTCCATCTTCAAGTCAATTCTTCTCTCATTTTACCACAAACAGGAGAACCAAGGCACTTCTTCAAAACTTTACTTAGAAATCTCATTAGCTGGCCGGGCATGGTGGCTTGTGCCTGTAATCCCAGCACTTTGGGAGGCTGAGGCAGGCAGATCACCTGAGGTCAGGAGTTCGAGACCAGCCTGGCCAACATGGTGAAACCCTGTCTGTACTAAAAATACAAAAATTAGCCGGGTGTGGTGGCATGTGCCTGTAATCCCAGCTACTCGGGAGGCTGAGGCAGGAGAATTGCTTGAACCCGGGAGGCGGAGGTTGCAGTGAGCTGAGATCACACCACTGCACTCCAGCCTGGGCAACAAGAAAAAAACTCTGTCTCAAAAAAAAAGAAAAGAAATCTCATTAGCTAAATATCCAGTTTCGTGACTCACAAGTTCTACTTTCCATAGAACACTAGAACATGAACATAATTCTGTTAAGTTCTTTGCCACTTTATAAGGACCACCATTTCTCTGTTTCTAATAATATGTTCCTTATTTCTCTCTGAGACCTCGTCAGAATGGCCTTTACTGTGCATATTTCTACAAACATTGTGTTCGTGATTACTTAGATATTCTCTAAGAAGATGGAAGCTTTCTCTACAATTCTCCTCTTTTCTTTCTGAGCCCTCAGCAGCATCACCCTTAATAGTTCATTTATGGCAATGTAGGCTTTTTCTAGCATGCGCCTCAAAACTCTTCCACCCTCTTCTCATTATGCATTTTTTGGTGTTTGTGGCAACAGCACCCTCACTTCTTGGTACCAATTTCTATCTTAGTCCATTCAGGTTTCTGTAACAAAATATCATTAACTGGGTGGCTTATAAACAACAGAAACTTTTTTCTCACAGCTCTGGAGGCTGGGAAGTCCAGGATTGGGGTGCCAGCGTGGTCAGATTCTGGTGAGGTACTTCTAGGTTGCAGACTGGCAACTTCTTACTGTGTTTTTACATGGTGGAAAGACTGAGAGATATCTCTGGAGTTTTTTGTTTTTGTTTTGTTTTGTTTTTGAGACAGAGTCTTGCTCTGTTGCCAAGTCTGGAGTGCAGTGGCATGATCTCAGCTCACTGGAACCTCCTCCTTCTGGGTTCAAGCAATTCTTGTGCCTCAGCTATTTGAGTAGCTGGGATTACAGGCATGTGCCATCATGCCCGGCTAATTTTTGTATTTTTAGTAGGGACAGGGTTTCGCCATGTTGACCAGGCTGGTCTCAAACTCCTGGCCTTAAGTGATCCACCCACCTCAGCTTCCCAAAGTGCTGGGATTACAGGTGTGAGCCACCGTGCCCAGTCCTCTGGAGAATTTTTTGTAAGGACACTAATCCCATTCAAGAGGGAAACCCCTCATGACCTAATCACTTCCCAAAGGCCTCATCTACTAATACATTACATTGAGGGTAAGGATTTCAACATATGAATTTTGGGGGGGACATAAACATTGAGCCCATTGCAATGCTCTTTATCATGCTAAGGAAGTCTCCTTCTATTCCTGTTTGGTTGAGTGTTTTTATTATAAATTATTGTAGGATTATGTCAAATGCTTTTTTCTGCATCAATTTATAGGATCATGTGAGTTTTTCTTTTTTATGTTATTAATGTGGTATATTACAGTGATTTATTTTCTTATGTTGAAAAATCTTTGCGTTCTTGGAATAAATCCTGTTTTCACTACTTCTATTCAACATTGTTTTGAAAGTCCTAGGCAGACCAATTAGGCATACTATGAATAGTTTGCTTTTCTTTGACTGAAAATTTCTCTATTTTGCCTTAAATTTTGAAGGGTAGTTTCACTAAGTATAAAAGTCTAAGAGCCATGTGCTATGGTTCATGCCTGTAATCCCAGCACTTTGAGAGGCCAAGACAGGAGGATCACTTGAGGCCAGCAGTTTGAGACCAGCATGGGAAACACAGTAAGATCCCATCTCTCCAAAAACCAAAAAAAAACTGGCTGGGTGTGGTGGTGTGCACCTGTAGTCCTAGCTACTCAGGAGGCTGAGACAGGATGATTGCTTGAGCCCAAGAGTTTGAGGTTACAGTGAGCTATGATTGTGTCACCGCACTGCAGTGCGGTGCAGTTTCCTTTTAGAGATCTGGTCTCTAAAAGGAAAAAAAATATCTAGGTAGGCACTTAGTCTCTTTTAGCACATTAAAAGATGTTATTCTATTGTTTTCTGGCTTCCAATATTTCTAAAAGATATCAACTATTCATCTTATTCCTCCTTTGAATATAATGCATCTTTTATTTTTGCTGGTTAAGACCCATTGTGTTAGGGCTGGGTGCGGTGGCTCACGCCTGTAATCCCAGCACTTTGGGAAGCTGAGGCGAGCGGATCATGAGGTCAAGAGATCGAGACCATCCTGGCCAACATGGTGAAACACCGTCTCTACTAAAAATACAAAAATTAGCTGGGCATGGTGGCATGTGCCTGTAGTCCTAGCTACTTGGGAAGCTGAGGCAGAAGAAGTGCTTGAATTGGGGAGGCGGAGGTTGCAGTGAGCCGAGATCGCGCCACTGCACTCCAGCATGCTGACGAGCTGGACAAGACTCCATCTCAAAAAAAAAAAAAAAAAAAAAAATTCATTGTGTTGGTATTCAGCATTCTGTAGTGTACTTAAGTTTAGGTTTTCTTTGTCTTCATGCTGCTTCATAACACTTCTTGCATCTAAGGCTTGCACCTTAGGCTTTCTCAGTTTTGGAAAGCCCTTTTTTTTTTTTTTAATAGACTGTATTTTAAAGCAGTTTTTAGGTTCACAGCAAAATTGAGCAGAAAGTACAGACAGTTACCATATACTCCCTGCACTGTTAGCTTTCAAATGTTGTTTCTGCTTGCCTTTGTGTCTGGGACTCCTGTCTCCCCTTTCCTTCTGGGACTCCTATTACTGTGTCCCATATACCTATTGGCTCTTTTATCTATTTTCTTTCCATGCTTCATTATGGATATTTTCTTCAGACATTTCTTCAGTTGTGTCTAATCTGTACCCCTTACTGAGTTCTTTATTTCTCCTGTTCTAGAATTTCCATTAGATTTTTTTTATTTTTTTTCAGTTTTTAGTTCTTGGCCAAAATTCTCCATCTCGTCATCTAATTTCTTGTATATATAAAGGGCATATATTTTTTTTTTTTTAATTAATTTATTTTTTTTTTATTGATCATTCTTGGGTGTTTCTCGCAGAGGGGGATTTGGCAGGGTCATAGGACAATAGTGGAGGGAAGGTCAGCAGATAAACAAGTGAACAAAGGTCTCTGGTTTTCCTAGGCAGAGGACCCTGCGGCCTTGGCCTTCCGCAGTGTTTGTGTCCCTGGGTACTTAAGATTAGGGAGTGGTGATGACTCTTAACGAGCATGCTGCCTTCAAGCATCTGTTTAACAAAGCACATCTTGCACCGCCCTTAATCCATTTAACCCTGAGTGGACACAGCACATGTTTCAGAGAGCACAGGGTTGGGGATAAGGTCACAGATCAACAGGATCCCAAGGCAGAAGAATTTTTCTTAGTACAGAACAAAATGAAAAGTCTCCCATGTCTACTTCTATCCACACAGACCCGGCAACCATCCGATTTCTCAATTTTTTCCCCACCCTTCCCGCCTTTCTATTCCACAAAACCGCCATTGTCATCGTGGCCCATCCCCAATGAGCCGCTGGGCACACCTCCCAGACGGGGTCGTGGCCGGGCAGAGGGGCTCCTCACTTCCCAGTAGGGGCGGCCGGGCAGAAGCGCCCCTCACCTCCCGGATGGGGCGGCTGGCCGGGCGGGGGGCTGACCCCCCCACCACCCTCCCGGACGGGGCGGCTGGCCAGGCAGAGGGGCTCCTCACTTCCCAGTAGGGACGGCCGGGCAGACGCGCCCCTCACCTCCTGGATAGGGCGGCTGGCTGGGCGGGGGGCTGTCCCCCCCACCTCCCTCCCGGACGGGGCGGCTGGCCGGGCAGAGGGGTCCTCACTTCCCAGTAGGGGCGGCCGGGCAGAGGCGCCCCTCACCTCCCGGACGGGGCGGCCGGCCGGAAGGGGGGCTGACCCCCCCCACCTCCCTCCCGGACCGGGCGGCTGGCCGACCCCCCCCCCCCCGCCTCCCTCCCGGACGGGGCGGCTGGCCGGGCAGAGGGGCTCCTCACTTTCCAGTAGGGGCGGCCGGGCAGAGGCGCCCCTCACCTCCCGGACGGGGCGACTGGCCAGGCGGGGGGCTGATCCCCCCACCTCCCTCCCGGACGGGGCGGCTGGCCAGGCGGGGGGCTGACCCCCCCCACCTCCCTCCCGGACGGGGCGGCTGGCCGGGCAGGGGGCTGACCCCCCCTCCCCCCTCCCGGACGGGGCGGCTGGCCGGGCGGGGGGCTGACCCCCCCACCTCCCTCCCGGATGGGGCGGCTGGCCAGGCAGAGGGGCTCCTCACTTCCCAGTAGGGGCGGCCGGGCAGAGGAGCCCCTCACCTCCCGGACGGGGCGGCTGGCCGGGCGGGGGGCTGACCCCCCCCACCTCCCTCCCGGACGGGGTGGCTGCTGGGCGGAGACGCTCCTCACTTCCCAGACGGGGTGGTTGCCGGACGGAGGGGCTCCTCACTTCTCAGACGGGGCGGTTGCCAGGCAGAGGGTTTCCTCACTTCTCAGACGGAGCGGCCGGGCAGAGACGCTCCCCACCTCCCAGACAGGGCTGCGGCCCAGCAGAGGCGCTCCTCACATCCCAGACAGGGCGGCGGGGCAGAGGTGCTCCCCACATCTCAGACGATGGGCGGCCGGGCAGAGACGCTCCTCACTTCCTAGATGGGATGGCGGCGGGGAAGAGGCGCTCCTCGCTTCCCAGATGGGATGGCGGCCGGGCAGAGACGCTCCTCACTTTCCAGACTGGGCAGCCAGGCAGAGGGGCTCCTCACATCCCAGACGATGGGTGGCCAAGCAGAGACGCTCCTCACTTCCCAGACGGGGTGGCGGCCAGGCAGAGGCTGCAATCTCGGCTCTCCGGGAGGCCAAGGCAGGCGGCTGGGAGGTGGTTGCAGCGAGCCGAGATCACGCCACTGCACTCCAGCCTGGGCACCATTGAGCACTGAGTGAACGAGACTCCATCTGCAATCCCGGCACCTCGGGAGGCCGAGGCTGGCGGATCACTCGCGGCTAGGAGCTGGAGACCAGCCCGGCCAACACAGCGAAACCCCGTCTCCACCAAAAAAAACCGAAAACCAGTCAGGCGTGGCGGTGCGCGCCTGCAATCGCAGGCACTCGGCAGGCTGAGGCAGGAGAATCAGGCAGGGAGGTTGCAGTGAGCCGAGATGGCAGCAGTACCGTCCAGCCTTGGCTCGGCATCAGAGGGAGACCGTGGAGGGAGAGGGAGAGGGAGAGGGAGAGGGAGGGGGAGGGAGAGGGAGAGGGAGAGGGAGAGGGAGAGGGAGAGCTAAAGGGCATATATTTTAAAATCCATGTTTTATTACACCAATATCTGGATTGCCTTGGATTTGTTTTTATTCCCCATGTTTATCTCTTAGTCTTCAGTCAGTCGGTCTTGTCTTCTAGTAAGCATGGCAATTTTTTATTTAATACCAGAGATTTTATATATAATTTTGAAGAGAAAATTCAAGGTTCTGGATAAAGTTACTTTCCTCCAGAGAGTAGCGATATTTTTGCTTCTGGCAGTCATTTAGATGAGGGATCATCTCAATCCAATAAAGGATTAAATTTATCAGAGGCTGAGCTTCCATTTTTGAGCCTGGTTTATTTCAGGTTTATTCTTACTCCTAGGTATAGCCCTTCGGGGATTCCAGCTGAAAGCCGGGGATATTAGGGGTTCTCAACTCATTTTTTTGTTCATCTATTCCCATAAAACTGTGAAATTTCAGTTTAGCTGGGCTTATTTCCCTCCACTTCCTTTTTCTCTAGGATCTTGGCTCTTCTGGTTTTTGATCCCTTGATAGGTCTCTAATGACTTTAAATGGATATTTTAAAACATATTTTGTCCAACTTTTCTTGTTGTTTTCATTTGGAGGGTTCAAACCATTACTATAAATTGAAATCCCAAACTGGTGCTTTTTTTCTTTCCATTTTTTCCCCTTCTACTAGCTTGGAAGTTATGAACTCTGTTTCTATTATTTTAGTGGTTACTCCTCAGATTTAAATATATGTGCTTATCCATTCTTTATTCAGAAATGTTTTATCAATGCTAGTAAGCCCATCCATTTCAGTACTTTGCATTCTTATTAATTTCTGGAAGTAAGATTTGATTCTGTTTTCAAATCTGCTAGATAACTTTTTATGGGTTTCTGTTTCTTACAAATTTATACTTGTATTTTATTTATTTTTTTTCTTTTTTCTTTTTTTTTGAGATGGAGTCTCACTTGGTTGCCCAGGCTGGAGGGCAGTGGCGTGATCTCAGCTCACTGCAACCTCCACCTCCCGAGTTCAAGCAATTCTCCTGCCTCAGCCTCCTGAGTGGCTGGGACTACAGGCGCGCACCACCATGCCTGGCTAATTTTCGTATTTTTAGTAGAGATGGGGTTTCACCATGTTGGCCAGGATGGTCTCAATCTCTTGACCTCATCATCCGCCCACCTCAGCCTCCCAAAGTGCTGGGATTACAGGCGTGAGCCACCATGCCTGGCATTTTATTTCTTTAAATATAATATGCATAGGTGTTTTCTAATCTACCTCTGAAAATTCCAATACCTGACATCTTTGCAGGTTTGTTTCTGCACTTGTCCTTATTTTTTAATAGTTAACACTTCTGAAATTGGAGTATGTCTTACAATTGATGGTATTTAATAATTTGACTGTATTTTTTCATTCTACTACATATAAATTGATGGTACATTTTATAATCAATAGCATCTTAAATTTAATAAAATACGATATTTGTGAGGATTTTGAAGCCTAGGATGAATATTTTCCTCAAAGAGTATTTTTTTTTTTTTTTGAGATGGAGTCTTGCTCTGTCACCCAGGCTGGAGTGCAGTGGCAAGATCTCGGCTCACTGCAAGCTCAGCCTCCCGGGTTCACGCCATTCTCCTGCCTCAGCCTCCTGAGTAGCTGGGACTACAGGCGCCCGCCTCCACACCCAGCTAATTTTTTGTATTTTTAGTAGAGACGGGGTTTCACTGTGTTAGCCAGGATGGTCTCGATCTCCTGACCTCGTGATCCGCCTGCCTCGGCCTCCCAAAGTGCTGGGATTAACAGGTGTGAGCCACCGCGCCCAGCCTCCATAAAGAATATTTCATTTACTTTTGACTCTGGCACCATCAATCAGTCCAGGACCACTTTAAATTCATGGCTTGAAGGTTTTTTGGGACAACCCAGATAATGTGAACTTGAGCTGCCAAATATACAAAAGTTAGTCTGTGGTTATGACTTCTCAGGGATTTCACCCCAGACCCCTGGAATTCTCAGTGTGAAGGCAACTTTCTTTGCAGTTACCCAAGGTTAGGAGTGAGTGGTAGATTTGTCATTTTGAGGTTCCATTTGCATGTGGGAAGGTCTTCTACTGGATTAAAAAATTTCTGAGGAGCCTGGCACAGTGGCTCATGCACTTCAGGAGACCAAGAAGGGTGGATCACTTGAGGTCAGGAGTTTGAGACCAGCCTGGCCAATATGATGAAACCCTGTCCCTACGAAAAATACAAAAATGACCGGGGCATGGTGGTGCATGCCTGTAATCCCAGCTTCCCCAGGAGGCTGAGGTGTGTGAATTGCTTGAGCTTGGGAGGCAGAGGTTGCCATGAACTTTGAGCTACTGCACTCCAGCCTGGGTGACAGAAGGAAACTCTGTCTCAAAACAAAAAACTAATTTGAGACATACCAATGTATATATTTATGGTGTATAATGTGATGGTTTGTTGCATGTTTACACTGTGGATTGATTAAATCAAGTGAATTAACATATCCATCATCTCACTTATCTCTTTTGTGTGTGTGGCGGAAACATTTAAAATCTTCTTTTTCAGCAATTATGCCTATGGTTTATTTTTCTGAAGTTTTCCTTAAGGAGTTCTCTGCTCTAGGCCACAAAGATTTTCTCCTACCTTTTTTTCTATGTTCCAGTCTTACATTTCACATTTTAGTTTTTAATATACTTGGAGTCCACCTCTATATGTGGTATTAGGAAGTGATACAATTTTATTTTTCTCTATAATGAGCCAGTTTTCCCATAACCATTTTTTTTTTGAGACAGGGTTTCGCTCTTTCACTCAAGTTGGAGTGCAGTGGTGTGATCTCAGCTCAAAGCAACCACCTCCCGGGCTCAAGTGATCTTCCTACCTCAGCCTCCTGAGTAGCTGGGACCACAGGCATGTGCCACCACGCCCAGCTAGCTTTTTGTATTTTTTTGTAGAGATGGGGTTTCGTCACATAGCCCAGGCTGGTCTCAAACTCCTGAGCTCAAGCAATCTGCCAGCCTTGGCCTCCCAAAGTGCTGGGATTACAGGCGTGAGTCACTTTGCCCGATTCCCATCACCATTTGCTAAACAATCATTTTCCCATTGATTTATGGGACTCCCTTTATTATAATAAATGGCCATGTATACATAAGCTTGTCTCCGAGCTCTCTATCTGTTCCATTGGTCTATGTGTTCCTGTTTTTATTTCCTACAGCTTTGTAATGTATCTTAGTGTTTGGTACAGCAAGTCCCTCCTTTGCTGTTCTTTTTAGGGTTGATTTAGCTATCAGTAGGCCTTTATTTTGTCATATTAATTTTAGAGCATTTAACAAGTTCTTGAAACATTCCAAATGAAATATGAATTGGGAATGCATTAAAATATAATTTAAGCCTGGGCAACATAATGAGACCTCGTCTCTACAAAAAATAAAAAAAAATTAGCCAGGTGTGGGGTCATGCACCTGTAGTCCCAGCTACTTGGGAGGCTGAGAATTACTTGAGCCCAGGATGTTGAGGCTGTAGTGAGCCATGATCATGCCACTGCACTCCAGCCTAGGCAACAGAACGAGACCTTGTCTCAAAAAAAAAAAAAAGTAAATAAATATATATATATGTGTCTATATACAGACACACACACACATATATATAATTATATATATATATAATTTAATTTGGCTGGGTGCGGTGGCTCACGCCTGTAATCCTAGCACTTTGGGAGGCCGAGGCAGGTGGATCACGAGGTCAGGAGTTTGAGTTCGAGACCAGCTTGGCATGGTGAAACCCCATCTCTATTAAAAATATAAAAATTAGCTGGGCCTGGTGGTGCGCACATGTAGTCCCAGCTACTCAGGAGGCTGAAGCAGGAGAATCGCTTGAACCTGGGAGGTGGAGGTTGCAGTGAGCTGAGATCGCGCCACTGCACTCCAGCCTGGACGACAGAGTGAGATTCTGTCTCAAAAAAAAAAAAAAATTGGGGGAGTACTGACATCTTTGTGATTTCAAGTTATTCCAACCAAGAACTTGGACTATCTCTCCATTTATTCAGATCATCTTCTATGTTTTTTTTAGAATTTTACAGTTTTCTACATGGAAGTCTTCTGTATTCTTGGTTTACTTAATATCTTGATACTTTTATAATTTTTATTGCTATTGTGAAGAATATCTTTTATTAAATTATATTTTTATAGTTTTTACTGTAGTAGAGAAATGCTCCTGATATTTGTAAGTTGTTCTGGTATTCAGAAACCTTGGTGAATTATTTTATTATGTCTGACGTAGAATGTCTGATTATCATTTCAACTGCTTTCATACTTACTATCTACTCAAATGGTCTATTTCTTTTTGGCCAGTTTTGGTATCTTATATTTTTTCTAGGAATTTAACTATTTTATCAGAGTTTTCATATTCATTAATGTGTAGTTATTCAAACTGTTTTCTTCTTCCTCTTCTACTTCTTTTTTTTTTTTTTTTTTTTTTTTTTGAGACAGGGTCTTACTGTATCACCCAGGCTGGAGAGTGCAGTGGAAGGATCACATCTCACTGCAGCCTTGACCTCCCAGGCTCCAGAGATCCTCCTACCTCAGCCACCCAAGTATCTGGGAACACAGGCACACACCACCACACCCAGCTAATTTTTTTTTTTTTTTGAGACTGAGTCTTGCTCTGTCACCCAGCCTGGAGTTCAGTGGCGTGATCTCAGCTCACTGCAACCTCCACCTTCCAAGTTGAAGTAATTCTCCTGCCTCAGCCTCCCAAGTAGCTGGGATTACAGGTGCACGCCACCATGCCTGGCTAATTTTTTGTATTTTTAGTAGAGACGGTGTTTCACCATATTGGCCAGGCTGGTCTCAAACTCCCAACCCCAAGTGATCCATCTGCCTCGGCCTCCCAAAGTGCTGGGATTATAGGCATGAGCCACCGTGCCTGGCTGCCCCAGCTAATTTTTTAAAATTATTTTTTATTTTTTGTAGAGACAGGGTCTCACTATGTTGTCCAGGCTGGTCTCAAACTCCTGAGCACAAGTGATCCTCCTGCCTAGCCTCCCAAAGTGCTGGGATTACAGGCATGAGCCACTGCATCTGACCACTTCTACTCCTTTTTAATTTCCAAGGAGATTTACATTTACTTTCATCTTTTGCCCTAAAGCATTACCAGCTCAGGTTCACTCCACTTTGATTTTCAATTTGAGGGTTCCTGGCTACACAGTGGGTATAAATTAGAACTCCAAGCCAGTATGAGGATAGACTCATGGTTAAAATTCTCAGAGAAGGTGTTTTTTGTTTTTTCCCACCTAGAGTACAAATTTTCTTGTGGTGGGCAGATTTTTTCCTAGCCACTTTTCCAGTAAACATGTAGCACTTTTGAGAATTCTGGCTTTTTCCCAGGGTCTCCATTCCAAATACACACTTCACATGGGCCTTGTCTTTTGCTCCTACCTTGTTGTTAACCCAAATCCCTTCTGACTGACACTACAAATGATATGGGGCGTTGAAGTATCAGATGATTTTCTACTCATGTTTTTCAATTTTCTCCTTAATTTTGGCCTGTAAGGATTTCCCTTACTCTTTTTCGAGGAACTTAATTTGGCATTTAAAAGGATGCTGGGCTGGGTGCAGTGGCTCACACCTGTAATCCTAGCACTTTGGGAGGCCGAGGTGGGCGGATCACCTCAGGTCAGGGGTTTGAGACCAGCCTGGCCAATGTGGCAAAACCCCGTCTCTACTAAAAATACAAGAATTAGTTGGGCATGGTGGCTTAGCTACTCAGGAGGCTGAGGAAGGAGAATCGCTTGAACCCAGGAGGCAGAGGTTGCAGTGAGCCGAGATGGCACCACTGCACTCCAGCCTGGGCGACAGAGTGAGACTCCATCTCAAAAAAAAAAAATTGTTTTATTTGAAATTGTAACAAATGTCATTACTGCCTTTAAAATGACCTGGAGCACTTTGAAAAAAATCCCAGAAGTTTTCCAACTACAGAATAAAATTAAAATTCTACCATTAGGCATAACCTGGCTTCCATCTACCTTGTCAGCCTAGCATCTCCCACTACTTAGCAAAAGTGCACCTGACAATCATGACATGCTGATCTCGGTGATGTTCCCACTTGCCTGAAATACTCTTTCTTCACCTAAAAGTCTTGTGCTGATTCTTTAAACTCCAGTACAAATGCAACTTCTTGAATAATTCTCTTCCCTTCTCTCTTAGGAAGTTAATCACCGTCCTCTATATTCCCTGATATTTATATGTTTGTTACGGCATTTACATGTGGTTATGGATGCCAACTGTATCAATATCTGATACATGAGATGTATCAATATCTGATATCTAAAAGGTGAGAAGTGCTGTCAATAAAGTCTCTAACCTAGAACATAATCTGATTTTCTTTTTTCTTTTTGTGCTTCTCTAGACTTCAAAGCAGCATAGATTGAAAAAGATCCAGAAATTAACAGGTCAGAGAGATCCTATCCTTTACTCTTCAGCTCAAGGTTAATAACAGACCAATTGTGGGTCAGCCTTATGACTCTAGCCTTAAATAGCAGGTGGAGGGAGGTTGAAAAAGAGGATGTAAATGGAAGAAGTGTGCCTCTTCTTTCTAGCATCTCCATGTCTAAAGATATGTATGTATACGGCTCCATAATTCTTTCCATGGTTCCTTTCCTTATACTTCCTTTCCTCAGCTCCTTTTGTGCAAAGCCCAAGGTATTGGGAAGGAAACTTGGTGAGATTTAGAATGGACAAAGGGTAACTACCAAGAGTTTGGTGAGGGAAGTTTCCCTATCTTTTCCCCCCCACCACAGATACTGGATAGACTCCTTTGGAGAAAAAGATATGTATCATGACCTCTGTTTCCCCTACTCTCACTGCTTATTACTATGATTATTCCTATTCTTCCCAAAGTATATAGCTTACATCTACTGTATGATGAAGGCAGCATAGTATGGCTTTTTGAAAAATCTTGAGATGGGTTAAGTCTGAGATCTACCACTAATTAGCTTTATGATCTTGGGTATAACTTCATCTTTGTTTCCTTATTTGCAAAAAGAGGGGGTTGGACAAAATGATCATGATCATCAATAGTCATGAGGCTGACAGATTCTTCACCTCTTCTCCCAGATCCACAGTGGGAAGAAAACCTCAGGATGGCTTGCACTGAAGCTAACCTGACATGGTGAGTAAAGCCTGTCTTCAGCCTATTCTACTGATAAATTCTGTGAAAGTTAGACGTAAAGTACCTGGACTCTGTTTTACTTCCTTCACTGTGATAGCTTTCTCCTTTCTAAGTTAAATCTCTCTTATTGTTTTCCTTACTGGTACTTTAATGAAACTTCAATTACATTGACATACACTGTTGCATCCAGTGTTTCAGAACTCCCTGTGGGCTGGACCCAGGAATATATACTCTGGTCAATGGAGCGGAGCCTTCAACAGATCTTCCGATACCTAGAAAGCGCAAGGTCAGGCAATGTAGTTTCTGGGTGGGGATTGAAGGTGGTAGAGGTTTTAAAAAGAAGAAAGGAAGGGAATGAAGGAGGGAGGGAGAGAGGGAGAAGAGAGAGTTTGTTTTGTCTGTGGGGGTAGTTCTGGGTTCAAACTGGTGGAAGGATCATTTCTGGGTGGAATGGGAACAGTTTCCTCCCTTTGTCCTGGTGGAGAAATTATTTCTATAAGTAATTGATGTTGGGGAAAGAAACTTTTTTTTTTTTTCAAATTCTCCTTCAGGCCAAAAATATTTTGCATTTGAAATGGCCACTTTTTTCGTTTTCCTATTTCAATGCAAACTGAAACATTTCTCTTTATTTCTTAGATCAAGGCTTGTGGAACAGGATTTGCCTGAATCACAGGATATGATTTCTTCCTCTACCACCTCTGTTCTTGTGGCTCAGAAGACTGTTCTATGCTGTTGTGACTATAAGAAAGCAAAACATTCTACTGACCACAGCATCTCCTTTAGTTCATCATGCAATGACTCCAGTCTGTCTCATCTTCCTGTCTTTTCTGAAGGAACAACTTGGGAATTCCGGAGCCATAGTTTACCTATTTCCCACAAAAAGCAATCCTCTGTGTTCAGGAACCAAGGCAGAACCCTGCCTCTTTTTCAGCTCTCAGAGCCCCAGAAATCAAAAATTTTTCAGAATTTGGCAGATCTTTCACCCTTACAACCTCAGAGCTCTTTTATCAACTCTATTTCTGAACCCCTAAATATCTGCAAACAAAAAAGGAAAAAAAATGATGAGAGAATGAGCAAGAGTCATTTGACATCAGATCATGAGCCAAATTCTGTTTCCAAGGAGAGACCACGACTTCCAAGGTGGGCTACATTCAAGCTCTCTCCTTCAGTTAGAAGGGAGCTAGAAGGACATATGTCTCAGAAGGTTTTTGCTTTGCGGCAACAAACAGCACCTTTACCTTTGAGGAAATCATGGGCAATGCTGAATTATATAACTGAAGTACAAGGAGGAGTTGCTGAATCAGAGAAACCCCAAACTCAGTTATCTATGCCCATTCATCAAAACACTGAGCAAAATATCAACAACAAATCCTCAGACCTTCCATCATTTCAGCTCCATGTGAATGCTGGAGTGGGATCTGGATCAAATAGCACAGAAACAAAACTTTCACAGTCACTTATCTCAGATAAGCAGTTACAACCTGGGGATGGCCCTCAAATCCTTGGATTCAAGCCTTTAGTTACATCAATGGGCAGTCTACCTCCAAGAAGTTTAGAACTTAATGTAATTCAAGAGGAAACTCCTTTACTGAAGAATGATCCAAAACATGTGCTAGAGCTTAGTATAGAGGAGAGGGTCATAGGTTTTCCAGAAAAAAGGATACAGCAGCACAAGACACAAGTGACTAATGTGGAGTTGACCCCAAGGCTATCATATCAAGTCAAAGATAGCCTAAAGGTAACTCCATTGGCACTACTTCGGGTCATGGATTCAATGGGGATGATCCCAGAATCACATTCAGAATTTGCGGGTTTGTTCTCACAGCTGCCAAGTCAAGTTGTGAAACCAATGGAAACCATGGAAACAGTGAGCATAACCCCCAAACCACCAAATCAAGTCATTCAATCAATGGAGGCAGCCCCAAGGTCTCAGCACCAAGTTATGGAATCAGAGAGGGTGGCCACAAGATTACTGAATCAAGTCACAGATAATAAGAAAGTAACTCCTGTAGCACTGCTTCAAGTTATGGATTCTATGGGGATGATTAACAAATCACATCCATGTATAGAATCAGTGGGAATGACTCCAACACCACGATATCAAGTCATAGAGTCAGTGAAAATGAACACATTGTTGAACCATCAAGACACAAAACCAGAAAAGATGAATCTAAGGCCACAACATGCAGTTACGGAAACTGTGGAAATGATGCCAGGGCCACAGCATAAAGTCATGGAATCTGCGGGCATGACCTCAGGGTCACAAAGTCAAGTCATGGAACAAGGAAAGGCTACTCCAGGGCTAATATGTCAAGACACAAAATCACTGGAAATGATCTCAGCACCATTACATCAAGTCATGGGTTATGTGAAAGGAATTCCAGTGGCACTATTACAAGCCATGGATTTCAGGGAGATAATTCCACCAGCACAGCCACATGTTATAGAATCTGGGGGCTTGACCCCAAGTTCACAGTTGCAAGGTAGGAGATCTGTTCATCTGGTCCTACCACCAGAGTTTCAAGATATAAACACTGTGGAGCTGACCCTAAGACCACCAACGGAAGATACAAAATCTGCGGAGTTGGCCCCAAAGCCATGGTTACACGATGTCAGATCTGAGAAGGTAGCCCCAGTACTATTGCTTGAAGATGTGAAAACTCCTCAAATGGTAGAATGTAGGAGGTCAATTCCTGAGACACAGGTGCAAGGTATGAAATATGGGGAACTGAACAAAGGGACACAATTTAAGGAAGTAAAAGCTGCAGAGATGAGCCCCAAACAAAATCATGAAGCCACAGAGCCTGAAAGATTGACCCCATGGCATCAAGCCTCAGAATCTTTAGAGATGATCTCCGGACCAGGATATCAAGGAAAAGAAGCAAAGTTGACCTCTGACAACTGTCACCAAGTGGAAAAATCTATTGGGTTGACACAACCATCTTTAGGAACTAGCCCAGGGCCACTGAGCCAAACTTCAGAATCTGTGGAGATGAGCTCAGTGTCATTCCAAGACATTCTCAAGACAATGCACCAACTTGGAAAAGCAATGGGGGAAACTCCAGTATCACAACACACAACAAAAGAATCTCTGGATTTGATACCAGGATCAGAAATGCAAAGTGTGAAATCAGAGGGGGTGACCACAGAGCCACAGCCCCATGATATGAAGTTTGTTTACTGCAATCTAGGGCCATGTTCAGAAGTTACTGAGTTGTCAGAGATACCCCCCATGTCAGAATATAAAGAAACTGTGGGGTTGGCATTGCCTCAAGTTGCTAAGACCCAGGGGGTCATCCCAGTACCACCACATTCAGAAACAGGATTTTTGGAGTTGACTCTAGGACCAGGCACTCAATATGAGAAATCAGAGCCACTACTGCAAAATTTGAAATCTATGGAGTTAACCAGTGAGTCATCTCCATTATTGATAGGATCTAAAAAGTTAATTACAGAACAAAAACCACATGTTATGGACCTGACCCCAGGGCCACAGCTCCAGGGAGAAAAGTCTAAGCAGCTGGGTCTAGAGTCACAGTTGCAAGATATGAAACACATGAATTTAATCCAACAGTCAACTACAGGAGTGGTAGAATCTGAGGAGATGATGCCAGAGCTACCGCTACAAAGTATGCCATTGGAGGATTTGACTAAGAGGGAAGAGCTCCAACGTGTAAAATCTGTGGATTTAAATCTAGGCCCATCTCAGCCAAGTGTCAAATCTTCTGAATTGACCTCAGGGCCACAGTTGCCAAGTGTCAGATTTTCAAAGATATTTCCAGGACCACTTCTTCAAGGCGAAAAACCTGTAGAATTAATCTCACAACCCCCACATTATGGTGTGAAATCTGATGAATTGACCTCAGATTCCCCAGTTCAGGACATCAAATTGTCAGATTTTATCCCAGAGCCAACACATCAAAGTGTCAAATTTGTACAGCTGACTCCAGAATCACAACCTCAAGATGTGAAATTTGTGGAACTAAGCCCAGGACTATTCTTGCAAGATGTCAAATTTTCTGATTTGATCCCAGAGCCAAAGCATCAAGGTTTCAAACATATGCAGTTGACACCAGGAGCTCAGCTCGAAGATATAAAGTCTCTAGATTTTGTACCAGAGTCATCTTTGCAGTCAAGCCAAGGGACACATATTGAAGATATGAAATCTGTTCTGTCTACTGAAGGATCACAGTTTCACAGCATGAAATCTGCGAAATTGACCTCAGAACTACCATTTCAAAGTGTAAAATCTGAGGAAGTAAACCTAGGGCCATGGCAGCAAGATATCAAATTTTCTGAATTGACTTCAAGGCCAAAGCTGCAAGGTGTCAATTCTGCGGATCAAACTCCAGGATCAATGTTTCATAGTGTGAATTTTGTAGAGGTGGTTCCAAAGTTAGGGCTGCAAGATTCCAAATTAGCAAAGATATTTCCAGGAACTCAAAGTATGAAACAGGTAGGGCTTAACCCAGAGCTGCAGCTACAAGATGTCAAATGTTTTGATTTAGTACCAGGAACTCAACCTCAAGGTGTGAAATCTTTAGAGTTAAACTCAGGGCCACAGCTACAATGTGTAAAAGTTTTAGAGATGACCCCAGGGCCAAAGATGCAAGGGGTACCACCTGTGACAATGGCTCCAGGGCCAGAGGGGGAAGGGGTTAAGCCTGAGTTGTTAGTACCAGAGCCACTGTTTCAAGGTGTAAAATATGTAGCAGGCAACCAAGAACCAAGCCTTGAAGCTGAAGTTTCCTATAAATTAGTCTCAGAGCCACAAATGCCAGATGCAGAATCCATGGAGTTGACTCCTGGGCCACAGTTGCCCAGTGTAAATCATTCTGAGTTGACCAGACAACCACAGTTACAAGGTATTAAATCTTCTGAATTGATACAAAGACCACAGTTACAAAACGTAAATCCTGTGGAGTGGAGCCCAGTCTTGAAACTTAAAGGTTTCAGATCTGAAAAGCTAACCTCAGAGCCACAGCTAGAAGATATGACATCTGCGGAATTAATCTCAGGGCCACATTTGGGAGATGTGAAAACTATGCAGTTAACACCAGAGCCAGAATTGGAAGATGTCAAATCTATGACGTTAACCCCAGAGCCACAGGCAGGAGGTGTAAAACTTGAGGAGGTAACCCCGGGCTCAAAGCTTCAATCTGAGTTGCTGACTTCAGGATCACACTTGGAAGATATGAAATCTGTGACCTTAACTCCAGGACCATGCCTGGAAAGCATAAAATCTATGGAGATAACCTTCCCACAGCCGGAAGGTGGGAAATCTGTGGCGATAACCTTAGGGTCACAGACAGAAGATGTCAAATCTGTGGAATTCACCCCTGATTCTGAGCTTCAAGGTGTAAAATCTGTGGAGTTGACTCCATGTTCAAGAATTCAAGATTTAAAAACTGAGGAGTTGGTCCTAGGTACACAGCTGCAAGATATGAAAACTGCTAAATTAAAACTTGGGCTAAAGATGCAAGGTGAGTCTATGGCTTTTGCACCAGGGCCATTGCTTCAAGGGGTTAAATCTATGGAGACGCTTCAAAGGCCTCAGCTACAAAGTGTGAAACCTGAAGAACTGACCTCAGTCCCACAAATGCAAGATATGAAATTTGTGGAGATTACTCCATGTTTAAAGCTTCGAAGTTTAAAATCTATAAAGGAGACTCAAGATCCACATCTGCAATGTGTAAAACCTGTAAAGTTGACCCCATGGCAAAAGAGGCAGGCAGTAAAATTTGTGAATATAACCAGAGGAGAAGAGTTTGAAGAAGTAAAATCTGTGGATTTAGCCCTAAAGCAACAGTTTCAAGGGATGGCACCTGTGGATTTAACCCTTGAGCCTGAACAGGATGGTCAGATATCTGTAAACTCACAAGAGCAGCAATGTGTGAATTTTGAGCAAGTAAAGAAAGGGTCTGAGTCAGAAGGTGTAATGTCTTTGGAGTTAATTCCAGAGCCAAAATCTGAAGGTATAAAATCGGTAGACCTCAAGTCTGACCTACAGTCGAAAGGTATAAAATCATCTGAATTGACTCCAGAATCAAATATGCAAGATGTAAAAGCTAAAGAGTTCAAACATGAACCACAGTTGCAAAGTATGAAATCTCCCAAGTTGACCCCAGGACCACAGTTGCACCAAGTGAAACCCTTGGGCTCGACTGTAGAGCCACAGATTCAAAGTGTGAAAATTGTGGAGTTAAACAAAGAGCTAGAGCTTGGAAGAATGAAATCTGTTCAGTGGATAACAAGACCTGAGTTCCAAGGTCTAAAATCTGTAGGGTTAAATCTTGGGTCACAATCTCGAAGTGTCAAACCTGCAGAATTGAAACTTTCCATACAGTTGGGAGATATGATAGCATCTAAATTGGTTCTAGAGCCAAAACTTCAAGGTGCAAAACCTATGGAGTTTAACCGTGGGCCACAGTTGCAGTGTGTAAAAACCTCTGAGTTGTCTTCAGGACCACAGCTGCAAAAAGGGAAAATGCTAGCATCCACCTCAGAGCCACAACTTCAAGGTGTGAAAACTGTGGAGTTAAACCAAGACTCACAGCTTACAAGTGTGAAATCTGTGCAGTGGATACCAGGACCTGAGTTCCAAGGTGTAAAAACTATAGGGTTAAATCTTGGTTCACAATCTCAAGGTGTCAAACCTGGAGAGTCGAAATCTTCCATAGAGTCAGGAGGTGTAAAGTCATCTCAACTGACTCTAGGGCCAAAACTTCAAAGTGTAACATCTATGGAGTTTAACCTTGGGTCACAGTTGCACTTTGTGAAAGCTCCTGAGTTGTCCCAAGGACCACAGCTGCAAAAAGGGAAAATTCCAGCATCGACCTCAGAGCCATATTTTCAAGGTGTGAAAACTGTAGAGCTAAACCAAGACTCACAGCTTGGAAATGCGAAATCTGTGCAGTGGATATCAGGACCTGAGTTCCAAGGTGTAAAAACTGTAGGGTTGAATCTTGGTTCACAATCTCGAGGTGTCAAGCCTGCAGAGTTGAAATCCTCCACAGAGTCGGGAGGTGTAAAATCATCTGAATTGACTCTAGGGCCAAAACTTCAAGGTGCAAAACCTGTGGAGTTTAACTTTGGGCCACAGTTGCAATGTGTGAAAACTCCTAAGATGTCCCGAGGACCACAGTTGCAGAAAGGGAAAATTCTGGCGTCAACCTCAGAGCCACAGCTTCAAGGTGTAAAAGATGTGGAGTCAAACAAAGACTCACAGCTTGGAAGTGTGAACTCTGTGCAGTGGATACCAGGACCTGAGTTCCAAGGTGTGAAATCTGTGCTAAAATGTGGTTCACAATCTCGAGTTGTCACAACTGTAGAATTGAAACCTTCAGTACAATTAAGAAATGTGAAGTCATCTGAGTTGACTCCAAGGCCAAAGCTCCAAAGTATACAACCTTTGACATCACTCCAGGAACATCAGTTGCCAGGGCTCAAACCTATTGCTTTGAAATCTGGGCTACAGTTGAGAACTGTGAAATCATGTGGCCCAATTTCAACATCAAAGCTCTGTGATATAAAATCTATGGCATTCAAACCTGGGCTTCACTCGCAAGATGTGAAATCTTCTGAGTTGACCCCAAGACCACAGCTGCACAAAGTGAAACCCTTGGAGGCATGCCCAGGAACACAGCTGCAAGATGTGAAGTCTCCAGCGTTTACACAAGTGCCACAGTTTTCAGGGGTGAAATCTGGAGTATTAAGCCAAGAGCTACCATTACAAAGTGATAAAACTGTAGCGCTGAACTCCTTACTACACTTGAAAAGCAAGAAATCATCTGAATTGGCTCATCAGACAGAACTTCCAGGTATGAAATCTGAGGAGTTCAACTCTGGGCCACAATGGCAATGTGTCAAATCTTCTAAGTTGAACCCTAAGACAAAGTCCCAAGACATGAAGTTTAGAGAGTTAAACCCCAGTTCACAATTGAAAGATATCCCATATTATGATTTGACCACAAGGACCAAGATTCAAGGTGTCAAATCTACAGACTTCAAACCTGGGCCACAGTTGCAAGGAGTGAAATCTTCTGAGTCGATACCGAAGACAAAGCTTCAAGAAGTGAAATTAATGGAATGCAACTCAGGCCCACGGTTGCAAGATTTGAAATCTTCTAGGTTGATCATTGGTATAAAGTGTCAAGACATTAAATCTATGGATTTCAGTTCTGGACCACACTTACAGACTGTGAAATCTTCTGAAGTGATTCCAGGGGGAAAGCTTCAGGGTGTGAAATCGGTAGAATTCAAACCTAGTCCAAAGTTACAAAGTGAGAAATCTGATTTGACCCTGGGGAGGAAGTTTCCAGGTGTGAAATCTGTAGAGCTGGAATCAGGCCCACAGTTACAAGATATAAAATCTTCTGATCTGATCATGGGTATAAAGCTTCAAGATGTAAAATCTATGAAGTTCAGTTCTGGACAACACTTTCAAGGTATAAAATCTTCTGAGGTAACCTCAGGGACAAGGCTTCAAAGTATGAAATCAATGGATTTCAATTCTGGACAACAGACACAAAGCGAAAAATCTTCTGAGTTGATTCAGGGAACAAACCATCAAGATGTTAAATCTGTAGAATTCCACCATGGTCTAAAGTTACAAGGTGTGACATCTTCTGAGTTAACACCAGAGACAAAGCTTCAAGGTGGGGAATCTGTGGAGTTCAACTCGGGCCCACAGTGGCAAGATACAAAATATTCTAACTCAATAATGGGGACAGAGCTTCAAGATGTAAAATCTATGGAGTTCAGTTCTGGATCACACTTGCAAGGTATGAAATCTTCTGAAGTGATCCCAGCGACAAAGCTTCAAAAAGTGAAATCTGTGCTCATGCCTAGGCCAATGCGGCAAGATGTGAAATCTTCTGAATTGACTGTAGGTACAAAGGTACAGGATAGGACATCTTTGGAGTTAAGCTCAACTTCACAGTTACAAGATAGAAAATTATCTATGTTGACACCAGGGATACACCTTCAGGGTGTGAAATCTGTAGAATATAATCCTGGGGCAAAGTTGGAAGATATGAAATCTGGGTTGATAAAGCTTCAGACGGTGAACTCTACAGAAGGCAACCATGACCCAGAATTGCAGGTTGCAAAACTCTCTAAGTTGGCCTTGGAATCAAAGATTCATAGTGTGGCACCTTCTGAGTTCAATGCTGAAAAGCAGCAGCAAGATGAGAAATCTCATAAATTGAATCCATGGCCAGACCTTCAAAGTGTAAAATTTATGGTGTTCAATCCTGAGCCACATCTGCAACATAGAAAATCTTCAGAATTATGCACAGGGACAAAGCTTCAAGATGTAAAATCTATGAAATTCAATCTTCAGCAACAGTTGCAAGGTGTGAAATCTTCTGAGTTGTGCCTAGGAACAAGGCTTCAAGGTATACAATCTTTAGATTTCAACCCTGGACCACAGTTGCAAGGAACAAAATCTGCCAAGTTGAATCCTGGGCCTGAGCTTCAAGGTATAAAATCTAAGGTGTTCTGCCTTGGACCACATTTGCAAGATGTGAATTCTTCTGTATCCATTCCAGAGCCACCACATCAGTGTGTAAATTCTACTGGGAGCAACTGTGGGCTACCTTTGCAAGGTGTAAATTCTGCATCCATTCCAGCACCTAAACTTCAGTGTATAAGTTCTAATGGGTGCATCCCTGGGCCACATTTGCAAGGTGTGAATTCTGCATTCATTCCACAGCCAAAAGCTCACTGTGTAAATTCTATTGGGTGCAACCCAGGGCCGTATTTACAAGGTATGAAATCGCCTGAATTAACTCCAGTTTCAAAACTTCAAGGTATGAAGTGTTCTGAATTGAACCCAGGGACAGAAATTCAAAGTGAGACACCTATGATGTTCAACCCTATACCACATTTGCAAGGTTTAAAATCTGAATTGACTCCAGGGTCAAAGCTTCTACGTGCAGCACCTATGGAATGCAACCCTGGGCCACAGGTGCAGTATGTGAATTCTTCTGAGTTGAATCCAGGGCTAAAATTGCAATGTATAGATTCTATGGAGTGCAAACTTGCGCCACACTTGCAAGGTGTAGAATCAGGGACAAAATTTCAAGTTATGAAATTTTCTGAGTTGCATCCAGGGCCAGAGCTTCAAGGTATAAAATCTGTTGTGTTCAACTCTGTGCAACATTTACAAGATGTAAAATGTGAACTGACTCCAGGGACAAAATTTCAAGATATAACACCAAAGGAGTTCAACTCTGGCCCGCAGCTGCAAGGTATGAATTCTGAGGAGTTCCATTCACACCTCAGGCAGCATAATGTGAGATCTGTGGTATTTGTACCAGAGCCATGTTCTCAAGATGTGAAATCTGTGAAGTCAACTCTATGGCCACAACCTCAAAGTGTAAATTCTTCAGGGTTGACATCATGCTTTGGGTCACAATGCGTTAAATCTGTGGCCTTTGCATCGAAGCCATGCTTTCAAGATGTAAAACCTATGGAGCTGACACCAGGGGCCCAACAGCAAGGTATAAATTATCAAGAGTTGACTTCAGGATGGCAAGATGTGAAATCAATGATGTTGGTACCAGAGCCAACTAGGAAGTTCCCATCAGGACCACTGTTGACTAGTGTCAGATTTTCAAATTTGTCTCCAGAATCACAGCAACAGGATGTGAAATCTTTGGAGTTTACTGTAGAGCCAAAGTTGCAAAGCGTAAAACATGTGAAATTATCTTCAGTGTCTCTGCAGCAAACTATAAAATCTGTGGAATTAGCACCAGGGTCACTGCCTCAAAGAGTGAAATATGGGGAGCAAACTCCAAGAACAAATTATCAAATCATGGAATCCTCTGAACTAATCCCTAGACCAGGGCATCAGTTTGCAAAATATGCAGAGATGATCCCACAGCCAAAGTATCAAATCCCTAAATCTGCAAATTTGATTTCAATACCAATTTATCACGCCACAGAATCTTCAGAAATGGCACAAGGATTGGCATATAAAGGCATAGATACTGTAGAGAAATCTGTGGGGTTGACCCCAAAGCTAACAGGTAGAGCTAAGGAATCCTTAGGGATGCTGCTGCAGCCAGATCTTCAGGTACCAAAATTTGTTGATCTGACTCCAATGGTAAGGGATCAAGGCTCAAAATTCTTAGGATTAACTCCAGAGAAAAGCTACCAAATCCTAGAAACTATGGAATTGCTCTCTCAGTCACGGCCCCGAGTTAAGGATGTGGGGGAGTTATATATGAAGCCACTGCAGCAAACTGTGGAATATGAAGGGATTACTCCGGAACTCAAGCATTACTTTACAGAAGCTATGGGGTTGACCGCTGAGGCAAGGATACAAGCAAATGAATTCTTTGGAATGACCCCAAAGCCAACAAGTCAAGCCACTGGATTTGCAGAGAGATCCCCAAGGCTCTGTCCTCAAAACTTAGAATGTGTGGAGGTGATCTCTGAGAAAAGACTGCAAGGGGAAGAATCTGTGGTATTGATTCCAAAGTCATTACATCACGTCCCAGATTCTGCTTCAGGGATGACACCTGGGTTAGGACATCGAGTTCCTGAATCTGTGGAGTTGACTTCTAAGTCAGGAGTGCAGGTAGAGAAAACTTTGCAATTAACCCCCAAACCACAGCATCATGTGGGATCTCCAGGGATAATATCAGGGTTAGGACATCAAGTCCCAGAATCTGTAAATCTGACCTGTAAGCAATGGCTACAAATGGAGGAATCTTTAGAGGTGCCCCTGAAGCAAACAAGTCAAGTTATAGGACATGAAGAATCTGTAGAGCTCACCTCTGAGGCACGGCAGCACAGGGAGGTATCAATGGGGCTAACAAAGTCAAAGAATCAAAGTATGAAATCTCCAGGGACAACCCCAGGACCACTGGGTCGAATTGTAGAATTTATGAGGATTAGTCCAGAGCCACTAGATCAAGTCACAGAATCTGCAAGGACACAGCTTCAAGTTGCTCAATCTGAAGAGGTAATCCTCATAGATGTCCCAAAAGTTGTTCAATCTGTGAAAGTGACCCCTGGACCACCATTTCAAATTGTAAAGTCTGTGACGATACCAAGGCCAACCCCTCAAATGGTAGAATATATTGAGTTGACTCCAAAACTGCAATATGTGAGACCTTCAGAGCACCACACAGGGCCATGTTTGCAAGATGTGAAATCTACAAAATTAATCACAAAGCCAAAACACCAGATTTTGGAAACAGTGGAGTTGACAGGGTTTCAAATTGTAAAAACTATGTTAATCCCAGGGCCATCCCTTCAAATCGTAAAATCTGAGGAGTTAGCACCAGGACCAATTCCTCAGGTTGTAGAACCAATAGGAGTAGCCCTAGAATCAGGAATTGAAGCAATAAATTGTGTGGATTTACTTCCAAGGCCACATCTTCAAGAACTGATAGTACCTGCAGAATTAACTCCAAGTCCATGTACTCAAGTGAAGTCTGCAGAATTAACCTCACCGCAAACATCTCCATTTGAGGAACATACAATATTGACTCATAAACAAGGGCTTCAGGCTGTGAAATCTACAGTGATAAAAACAGAGCCTCCTAAAGTTATGGAAACTGAGGATTTGAATCTAGGACACGTGTGTCAGAATAGGGACTGTCAGAAGTTAACATCAGAAGAGTTACAAGTAGGGACTGACTTCTCTAGGTTCCTACAAAGCTCTTCAACCACACTCATTTCAAGCTCTGTCAGAACAGCATCTGAATTAGGAGGACTTTGGGATTCTGGGATACAGGAAGTATCCAGAGCTTTGGATATAAAAAACCCTGGGACAGATATTTTGCAGCCTGAAGAGACCTATATAGACCCTACTATGATACAATCTTTAACTTTTCCTTTGGCCCTTCATAATCAAAGCTCCGATAAGACAGCTAACATTGTGGAAAACCCATGTCCTGAGATTCTAGGAGTGGATGTAATATCTAAAGAGACAACTAAGAGGAAGCAAATGGAGGAGCTAGAGAACTCACTTCAGAGACATCTACCACAAAGCTGGAGATCACGATCTAGGACATTCCAGGCAGAATCAGGGGTTCAGAAAGGTCTCATCAAGTCTTTCCCGGGCAGACAACACAATGTCTGGGAGAGTCATGCCTGGAGGCAGCGACTACCAAGAAAATATCTCTCCACTATGCTAATGCTGGGGAATATTTTAGGGACCACTATGGAAAGGAAGCTTTGTTCTCAAACATCTTTAGCAGAAAGAGCCACTGCAGATACCTGTCAATCTATTCAGAATTTATTTGGGATTCCAGCTGAACTGATGGAACCTTCCCAGAGCCTGCCAGAGAAGGGTCCAGTTACTATTTCTCAGCCTTCTGTGGTCAAAAACTATATTCAGAGACATACTTTTTATCATGGTCATAAGAAAAGAATGGCCTTAAGGATATGGACACGTGGCTCCACATCTTCCATAATACAGCAATACTCTGGGACTAGAGTGAGAATAAAGAAGACAAACTCAACGTTCAATGGTATATCCCAAGAAGTCATTCAACATATGCCTGTCTCATGTGCAGGGGGCCAGCTTCCTGTCCTGGTAAAGTCAGAGTCTTCCCTCAGCATATTTTACGATAGAGAAGATCTTGTTCCAATGGAAGAAAGTGAGGACTCACAGAGTGATTCCCAGACAAGGATTTCTGAGTCCCAACACTCCCTCAAGCCAAATTATCTTTCCCAGGCCAAGACTGACTTCTCAGAACAGTTCCAGTTGCTAGAAGATCTGCAGCTAAAAATAGCAGCAAAACTCTTAAGGAGTCAAATACCCCCCGATGTGCCTCCACCTCTAGCTTCAGGTCTAGTCCTAAAATACCCTATCTGCCTACAGTGTGGCCGATGTTCAGGACTTAATTGCCATCATAAATTACAGACCACTTCGGGGCCTTATCTTCTTATCTATCCACAGCTCCACCTTGTACGCACTCCTGAAGGCCATGGTGAGGTTCGGTTGCATCTTGGCTTTAGGCTGAGAATTGGGAAAAGATCCCAAATCTCAAAGTATCGTGAAAGAGATAGACCCGTCATACGGAGAAGCCCTATATCACCATCACAAAGGAAAGCTAAAATCTATACTCAAGCTTCCAAGAGTCCTACTTCCACAATAGATTTGCAGTCTGGGCCTTCCCAGTCCCCTGCTCCTGTACAAGTCTACATCAGGCGAGGACAACGCAGCAGGCCTGACTTAGTAGAAAAGACAAAAACTAGAGCACCTGGGCACTATGAATTCACTCAAGTTCACAACCTACCAGAGAGTGACTCTGAAAGCACTCAGAATGAAAAACGGGCTAAAGTGAGAACCAAAAAGACCTCTGATTCAAAATATCCAATGAAGAGAATCACCAAGCGACTTAGAAAACACAGAAAGTTCTACACAAACAGTAGAACCACAATAGAGAGTCCTTCTAGGGAATTAGCAGCCCATTTAAGAAGGAAGAGGATTGGAGCAACTCAGACAAGTACTGCCTCTTTAAAAAGACAACCTAAGAAACCTTCCCAACCCAAGTTCATGCAACTGCTTTTTCAGAGCCTAAAGCGGGCATTCCAAACAGCACACAGAGTTATAGCTTCTGTTGGGCGGAAGCCTGTGGACGGGACAAGGCCAGACAATTTGTGGGCAAGCAAAAACTATTATCCAAAACAAAATGCCAGGGACTATTGCTTACCAAGCAGTATCAAAAGAGACAAGAGGTCAGCTGACAAGCTAACGCCAGCAGGCTCAACCATTAAGCAGGAGGACATATTGTGGGGAGGAACGGTCCAGTGCAGATCAGCTCAACAGCCAAGAAGAGCTTACTCTTTCCAACCCAGACCTCTTCGACTGCCCAAGCCCACAGATTCCCAAAGTGGTATTGCTTTCCAAACTGCCTCAGTGGGGCAGCCTCTGAGAACTGTTCAAAAGGACAGTAGTAGCAGATCAAAGAAAAACTTCTATAGAAATGAAACCTCCAGCCAGGAGTCTAAGAACTTGTCCACACCAGGAACCAGAGTTCAGGCCCGAGGAAGAATCCTACCTGGTTCCCCTGTGAAGAGAACCTGGCACCGACATCTTAAAGACAAACTCACACACAAGGAGCATAACCACCCCAGCTTCTATAGGGAGAGAACCCCACGCGGTCCTTCTGAGAGAACCCGTCATAACCCCTCTTGGAGAAACCATCGCAGTCCCTCTGAGAGAAGCCAACGCAGTTCCTTGGAGAGAAGACATCACAGTCCCTCTCAGAGGAGCCACTGCAGTCCCTCTAGGAAAAACCATTCCAGTCCTTCTGAGAGAAGCTGGCGCAGTCCGTCTCAGAGAAATCACTGCAGTCCCCCCGAGAGGAGCTGTCACAGTCTCTCTGAAAGGGGCCTTCACAGTCCCTCTCAGAGGAGCCATCGCGGTCCCTCTCAGAGAAGACATCACAGTCCCTCAGAGAGAAGCCATCGCAGTCCCTCAGAGAGAAGCCATCGCAGTTCCTCTGAGAGAAGACATCGCAGTCCCTCCCAGAGGAGCCATCGCGGTCCCTCAGAGAGAAGCCATTGCAGTCCCTCTGAGAGAAGACATCGCAGTCCCTCTCAGAGGAGCCATCGTGGTCCCTCTGAGAGAAGACATCACAGTCCCTCTAAGAGAAGCCATCGCAGTCCCGCTCGGAGGAGCCATCGCAGTCCCTCAGAGAGAAGCCATCACAGTCCCTCTGAGAGAAGCCATCACAGTCCCTCTGAGAGAAGACATCACAGTCCCTCTGAGAGAAGCCATTGCAGTCCCTCTGAGAGAAGCCATTGCAGTCCCTCTGAGAGAAGACATCGCAGTCCCTCTGAGAGAAGACATCACAGTCCCTCAGAGAAAAGCCATCACAGTCCCTCTGAGAGAAGCCATCACAGTCCCTCTGAGAGAAGACGTCACAGTCCCTTGGAGAGGAGCCGTCACAGTCTCTTGGAGAGGAGCCATCGCAGTCCCTCTGAGAGGAGATCTCACAGGTCCTTTGAGAGGAGCCATCGTAGGATTTCTGAGAGAAGTCACAGTCCCTCAGAGAAGAGCCACCTCAGTCCCTTGGAAAGAAGCCGTTGCAGTCCCTCTGAGAGGAGAGGACACAGTTCCTCTGGGAAAACCTGTCACAGTCCCTCTGAGAGAAGCCATCGCAGTCCCTCCGGGATGAGGCAAGGGAGGACCTCTGAGAGGAGCCATCGCAGTTCCTGTGAGAGAACCCGTCACAGTCCCTCTGAGATGAGGCCAGGGAGGCCCTCTGGGAGGAACCATTGCAGTCCCTCTGAGAGGAGCCGACGCAGTCCCCTTAAGGAGGGACTCAAGTACAGTTTCCCTGGAGAGAGGCCCAGCCATAGTTTGTCTAGAGATTTCAAGAATCAAACAACTCTCCTCGGGACCACACATAAAAATCCCAAAGCAGGGCAAGTGTGGAGGCCTGAAGCTACTCGATGAGGCGAGGTCCGCCCCTATTATTCATTGTCCTAAGTCTTCATCGTGCTGCCCTTTCCAGGCTTCTTTCCTGCTCAGCCACTGCCTCCAATTCCTGCGCCCCCAGCGTGGAAAGGCTTCCATTTCTCTCTACCGGGGGGGAGGCGGGTGAGAATGGGTCTGTAATTTCTCTAAGATGAATAAAGGGGCAGTAAATGATCTTCCTGTGCATCTGGACTGAGACCACTGGGCGGGTGGATGGGGAAGGCAGGCTGGAGGGACACGAGGAGTTGTGCAAAGATTCGGAATGAGAGCCAGGGGTTTTGAGGCCCAGCCGAGGCTCCAAGCTCCGCCCCTTCACTCCAGACCCCACCCATAGGTTCCCGGGTCCCGCGTCGCGATCCCAGTGGGGCGGGGTCTCAGAGGAATCGGAGGGTGACTCATCACGTGACTCGCTCCGGCCGCAGCCCCCTCGGAAGCTGCTAGGCGGAAGTAGAAGTTCAGAAGAGGGCTAGGCGGAGCCGAGCCCACATCCGGGAGAGGAGAGCGGAAGTGGCGTTGGTCTGGCCGGAGCCCTTGGGTGAAATTGTTAGGCGTGGAGAGGGAGTGATGTCTTCCAGACTCGGTGCTGTACCCGCCGTGAGTTTCTTGGTTTGACCGTTATGCTTTAGAGGTAGCGCTGTCGAGCCCGGAACACGCGGTCCCTCGCTTTTGTCCCATGCTGAGTTGGTTTTATCAGAGGCCATCGTAGGCCCCACCCTTCTAGATCAGATCACCTGTCCCTTTTTCTTTACCCACGTTCTGCTGCCTGTTCCCCACCTCCTTGGATTTAATTCCTCGCCACATTACCATTAGTTTCTATTCCTTTTACATCCCCAATGTCTCTCATATCCGTTGTCTTTTCTTTTGGCCTCCCTTTTAGAGCCTGGGACAGGGCTTTGAGAATGGGGGAAGACGAAGGCTCTGGTATTGTTACCCGCCTTTGCACTGCTGGAAGATAGGACAGCATATTTTTCCTAAAAGGTGTTGCCTTCTTGTGTTTGAGGTGGTTTCCCCGGGAGAACTTCATTTCTTCTGGGCATAGGGGAATTCGTCTTTTTGTGGTCGAGGTTCAGAGGTCCCTAGCACTCACTCGTGTGCTTGTGATTTGCTAGACTTCGGGACCCACAACCTTTAAGCAGCAGAGGAGCACGAGGATCGTGGGAGCTAAGAAGTAAGTGAGGTTTTCTAAGGTCCTTTTATGATTGTGTCACCAGCGCTGACCAGTAGAACTTCTTCCTGTGATGAAAATGTTCTGTATCTGCATTGTCCAGTATCATAGCCACTAACCCGGTGTGGATTTTGAGCAGTTGAAATGTGGCTAGTGCAACTGAGGGACTGAATTTTAAATTTTATTTGCCAAGTGAGTGAGGTTTTTCTAAGGTTCTTTTGTGATTTTGTGGCCAGCGCTGTCCAGTGGAACTTCTTGTGACGAAAATGTTCTGTATCTGCACTGTCTAGTATCATAGCTACTAGCCCCGTACGCCTTTTGAGCGCTTGAAATGTGGCTAGTGCGACTGAGGGATTGAATTTTAAATTTTATTTAATTTTAACTAACGTTAAATAGCCACCTGTAGCTCGTGGCTATCGGATTGGACAGTGTAGGTCTAAGTCTAGTGTGTGGGAGAAAAACCTAGCTTGCAAAAAAAAAGTACAAATTGTAATAAAAATGGAACCAAAGACTCAGTGGTAATTCTGTATTTCTCCAGACATGAAATTCGTGCTCATAAATACACTGATGAACTTGGGATGGATGATAAAAATGGCCGTAAGAAATCCTTGTATTTTTAAACTACTTGTCTGTAAGACTGGTTTATTATTTAGTACACTGAAGGTGCTTAGTTTTTCCATGGTTAATACAAAAGAAAACATTCTTGTTAACTAGACATTAAATGGATTCATTCATTCAGGTGACATTTACTACATGTTTGCTGTGCGCCAGTTCTGTAGTAGGTTAGGAATACAGGCATGAAAAACAACTAGCAGTCTAGAAGGGGAGATAGGCAAGTAGGTCAACACAGTTCATTGTAATAAGTAAGTATTTTTAAGTAGGAATTTAATTTAGCCTTTGAGGAAGGGGAGTGATAGTTTGGAAGGGAAGGATTATCAGAGCAGGTCACTCCTAAGTAGAAACTTGAAAGTTGAGGAATCATGCAGTTAGTGAGAAGGAGAAAGGTTTTTCAGAACAGAGAACAGCATGTGAACGTGTGGAAAGAGTTAATGGGATAGTAAGTAGTTCTGTATGTCTGGGATAGAGGATGAGGGATTGCAGGGAGAGCGTTTAGAGAGGTTAGTAGGGGCTAGACCATGGAGGACCTGTTACGGCATGCTAAAGTGTTTGGATTTTATCCTGGAAGAGATAATGAGGGAATGACATAGCCAGATATTGGTCTTAGGCCACTCTGGCAGCATTATGAAGGATGGATTTGGAAGGGTACTGGGAAACTGGTTCAGAGGTTATTATGATAACCTAAGAGATGAATAAAGAACATGTAGCCTATGGTGGGAACAATATACAGGGAATACGTAGGGAACAACGTATAGGGAATGTACAGGTGGTGATGATGAGAAGTGAGTAAGAGAAGGAAGATAGGATGTCTATGGGTTTCTGGCTTTGGCCATCAGGTGAATTTTGGAGTAATTCACAGAACTACAAATTTCTGAATGAGGAGCAACATTTGGAACAAAAACAAATAGGTTTGGACCTCAGATGAAGAGCTGGTCTGAAATACAGAATTGGGAATTATCAGCTATAAAAAATAATTGGAAACATGATGTTTTCTTCCACAAGCTGAGAGTTTTAATGAGCTCTTCTAGTTAAAGTGGTTAGAGCAATGTTTCTCAGTATGTACCTTGGTCACCTAGAGATAATTGTTAAAAAATAAGATTATTAGGCCCCCATCCATTAACCAGATTTGGAATCATTGGGTTTAGGGCATAGAAATCTTTACTTTTAACTAGCTTCCTAGGAGATTGTGACATTTGAGAGTCAATGGTGAGAAGTGAGACCAGAGAAGAGTAGAGGAGGAAATCATGGAGAACACTAGCTTTTAAAGATTGGGTAGAATTAAATAAGTTTACAAAGGATACCGAGATGAACTAAAGTACTTTTCTAATGAAATCTAAATATTTGCACATGGAAGAATGAGCTAGGGGCTCTTAAAAATTTTTGGTAGATCAGAAAGGAGTTGAAAATAGGCTAAACTTTTTATGTTTGTGATCAGAAGCTGAGAGTTGCCACACTGGTGGCAACAAATTATAAAATAAATGCAATTATGATAGTCATTGTATCACAACAAAGCTTTTTCTTGTTATATGTATGGAAAGGGAAGTTTGAGCTTAATCTGGTTTTTTTTACAAATAATCAAATGTCCTGGGGTTGATGGGTAGATATTGTAAAATACTTGAGAATTGTTTTTGTTGAGTGCTTTAAAAATAAAACATGAGACCTGGAGGAGGGATTCCCTAACCACCTTGATTTAATCTCCAAGAGTTAATTATGATCATATGAACTGTTGCCTTTTCAGTATGCTTATGCTTATTCATAAGAGGGTATATGGGTACTGTATTTCTGAGTCCTACACTGATAGTAAGAAATTCCTACATGGAGAGTTTCCTAAGAGTTATTACATGGGACTCAGCTCTTAATGGCCTGTTGGTACCATCAAGTCTTTGTTGTTGTTGTTGTTGTTGTTGTTGTTGTTGGAGATGGAGTCTTGCTCTGTCGCCTAGGCTGGAGTGCAGTGGCATGATCTCGGCTCACCACAACCTCCACCTCCTGGGTTCAAGCAATTCTCCTGCCTCAGCCTCCCGAGTAGCTGGGATTACAGGTGCACACCGCTGTGCCCTGCTAAGTTTTTGTATTTTAGTAGAGAAGGGGTTTCACAGTGTTGCCCAGGCTGGTCTTGAACTCCTGAGCTCAGGCAGTTCGCCCATCTTGGCCTTCCAAAGTGCTAGGATTACAGGCATGAGCCACTGCGCCTGTCCCATCAAGTGTTTCTAGCATTGTTTGGGATGGTAGGTTTTGGCCTTAGAGGCCTGCCAGTCCATTAATTTTTAAAAATACCTTTATTGAGGTATAATTAGAGTACAATAGACTGCACATATTTAAAGCGTACACTATGGTCAGCTTTGACGTATGTCTGTACCCGTGAAACCATTGCCACAATCAAGATAATAAACATTTTCATCTCTCTCAAAAGTTTGTTCATGTCTCTGCCATTTCTTCCTCCACTCCTGTCCACGGGCACCACTGTACAGTGGTTTGCATATTCTAGGATTTTATATAAATGAAGTCACACAGTATGTTCTCATTTTTTTCATGATTTCTTTCACTCAGAATAATGATTTTGAGATGACAAATAGTTTTTATTGCTGGGTAGAATTCCATTATGGATACCATAATTTGTTTAGCCATCTATCTTGATTGACATTTGAGTTATTTTCAGTTTTAGGGTGTCAAACAATAAGGCTGCTGTGAACGTTCATGTACAAGTCTTGTGTGGACAAATGCTTTCATTTCTTTTGATAAATATCTAAGATGGTATTTACCATCCTAGGTTGGTTGATTCATATGGCAGGAGTATGTTTAGCTTTTTAGGAAACTACCTGCTTTCCAAAGTGGTATTATTTTGCATTCCTACCAGCAATGTATGAGTCAGTCTTTTCAATTTTAGCTAATTTAATGGGTGTGTAGTGGTATCTCACTGTGGTTTTAATTCATGGGTTTTTTTTTTTTTTTTTTCTTTTTTTGAGACAGTGTCTCCCTCTGTCACCCAGGCTGGAGTGCAGTGGCCTGATCCTGGCTCACCGAACCCTTTGCCTCCCAGGTTTAACTGATTCTTCTGCCTTAGCCTCCTGAGTAGCTGGGATTACCGGTGTGCATCACCACGCCTGACTAATTTTGGTATTTTTAGTAGAGATGGGATTTCACCATGTTGGCCAGGCTGGTCTCGAACTCCTGACCTTAAGTGTTCTGCCCACCTTGGCCTCCCAAAGTGCTGGGATTACATGCTTGAGCCACCACACCTGGCCTAATTTGTGGTTTTTAATTCATCATATATGAATAATAATGTTGAGCATCTGTTCGTATTCTTTCTTTTTTTGATCTTTTTTTTTTTGCATCTGTTCATATTCTTTTTTATTTTATTTTTTTTGAGACAGAGTTTCACTCTTGTTGCCCAGGCTGGAGTGCAATGGTGCAATCTCGGCTCACTGCAACCTCCGCCTCCCAGATTCAAGCTATTCTTCTGCTCACCCTCCGGAGTAGCTGGGATTACAGGCATGTGCCGCCACGCCTGGCTAATTTTATATTTTTAGTAGAGACGGGGTTTCTCCATGTTGGTCAGGCTGGTCTCGAACTCCCAACCTCAGGTGATCTGCCCACCTTTGCCTCCCAAAGTGCTGGGATTAACGGTGTGAGCCACCGCGCCCAGCCTTCATCTGTTCCTATTCTTATTGGCCATTTGTGTGTCTACTTTTGTAAAATGTTTACATTTTTGTCCATTAAAAAAAGTGGGTTATCTTATTGAATTGTGGTATTTAAAAAAATCTGTCCTGAATACAACTCGTTTGTCTGTTATACTTCCTTCCAGTCTGGTTTGTCTTTCATTTTCTTAATGATGTCTTTTGAAGAGCAAAAGGTTTAAATTTATCATTTTTTTCTTACATTTCATGCTTTTATGTATCCTATTTAAGAAACCTTTGCCTCCCTGGAGGTCGTAGCGAGTCAAGGTGGTGCCACTGCACTCCAGCCTGGGCGACAGAGCGAGATTCCGTCTTAAGAAATAATAATAATTAAAAAAAAGAAACTTTTGCCTCCCTAATTGCAGAGATTTTCTGTGGTCTTTTCTCCTAGAAGTTTTATAGGTTTTATATTTAGGTCTGTGACTCATTTAGAGTTAATTTCTGTGAATGTTTTATGGTAAGGGTCAATGTTGACTTTTTTTTCTATTTATATACCCAGTTGTTGGAAAGAGTTTTCTTTCCCTACTGAATTGCCTTGGCATCTTTGTCAAACTTCACTTGGACATGTATATGTGTAGGTCTGTTTCTGGACTCTCCTTATTCTGTTCTACTGATGTTTATTTAGACTCTTGAAATCAGTAAGTCCTCTAACTTTAGTGTTCTTTTTCAAAATTGTTTTGGTTATTCTCAGTTCTTTGCGTTTTTATAAGAAGTATAGAATTGGGTTGCCAATATCTATTAAAAGAAGCTTGCTGAGTATTGATTGGTATTATATTGAATCTATAGATTCCGTTGGGGAAAATTGCTATTTTAACAATATTGAGTTTTCTGATTTATGAACATGCTATATTTTCCCCTTTAAGTCTTCTTAATTACTCTCAGCAATGTGTTGTAGTTTCATTGTTTTTAAAAGTCTGGAACGTCTTTTGTTAGGTTTGTTCCCAGGTATATTATGTTTTACTGATGTAATTGTAAATGGTATTATTTTTATAATGTCATTTTCTAGTTGATTGTTGCTAGTATATAAGTATTCAGTTGACTTTGTATGTTATCCTTGTATCCTGACACTTTATAAATTAATTTATTAGTTCTAGTAATTGTTTTGTAGATTCCTTGGGATTTATTTTGTAAACAATCATATAATCTGCAAGTAGGGACAGTTTTGCTTTTTTCCTTTTGATCTTGTTTTAAACCTATTGCAATGGCATTCAGCAGTGAAACTACATGGGCCTGTAGTTTTCACTGTGGGAAGGATTTCATAAATTCAGTTTATTTAATAGATATAGGGCTACTTAGATTTCCAGTTTCTTCTTGTGTCAGTTTTGGTAAGTAGTATTTTTAAAGAAATTTGTTCATTGTAATTTTTCCATTGATTAGCATAAAGTTATTCAAAGTATATTATTACTTAATGTCTACATAATCTGCGGTAACCCCTTTTTCATTTGTGATATTGGCTATTTGTAGTGTCTTTTTTTGTAGATCAGTCTAAGTCTAGCTACAGGGTTGTCAATTTTGTGATCATTTCAAAGAACCACATTTCCCCTATTGTCTGTTTTCTAGTTCATGGGTTTCTCCTCTTACCTTACCTTTTCTTTGGTTTACTTTGCTTTTCCTTTTAAGGTATCTTAAGATGAAATCTTAAGTCATTGATTTTAGATCGTTTCTAGTATAAGCATTTAAAGCTTTAAGTTTCTAAGTATTGCTTTAGTTGCATCCTACAAATGTTGATATGCATATTTTTGTTGTTTTTCAGTGCAAAATATTTTCAAATTTCATTTGTGATTTCATTTTGGACCTATGAATTATTTAGAAGTAGATTATTTAATTTGCAGATATTTGGATTTTTTGTGTTTTTTGTTTTTAGATATCTTCCTATTATTGACTCCTAAGTTGATACCAATGTGGTCAGAGAATACACTGTGTAATTCTCATCCTTTTAATAAAAGTTAAAGTTGATGGCCCAGCGTAAGATCTAGCTTAATGAATGCATAATGTGCACTTGAAAAGAATATATATCCTGCAGTTGTTAGATGTAGTGTTGTGTAAATGTTAACTAGAGCAAGGTGGCTAATAGTGCAGTTCAGATCATTTATGTCTTTTACTGAATTTTTATCTAGTTCTATCAGTTGCTGAAAGGGGGAGGTCTTAAATTTTCTGCTAAGATTGTGGAATTGTCTATTTTTCCCTTTAATTTTGTCAGTTTTCGCTTTGTGTATTTTGAGGCTCTATTATTAGGCACATACAGTGGGTAATTATGCCTTCCCAATGATTTGACACTTTTGTCATTATGAAGTGTCTCTTTTTATCTCTGGCAGTACTCTTTGTCTTGAAGTCTGTTTTATCTGATATTAAAATAGTCATTCCAGCCTTATGTTTGCTGATTGTATGATACAATTTTTTCATCTGTTTATTTTCAATCTATAGATGTCTTTATATTTTAGAGTGTGCTTCTTGTAGGTAGCATGTAGTAGGGTATCACTTTTTATTTTACTCTGTCATTTGCTGACTTTTAACTGGAGTGTTTAGACTGTAAACATTTAAATTAATTATTGATATGGTTGGATAGGTCTGCCCTTTTATTTTTTGTTCTCTGTTTATCCATTGTTTTTTGTTCCTGTGTTTCTTCTTTTGGATTATTTGAATGCTTAGTGTCTGCCCCTACTCTTGTTTTTTTAAGAGACAGTGTCTTGCTCTGTTGCCCAGGCTGGAGTTGGTGGCACATTCATTGCTTGCTGGGCTGAAGTGATCCTCCCACCTCAGCCTCCCAAGTAGCTGAGATTACAGAGGTGTGAGCCATCTACCCCGGCCTGTTTACCATTTCTGTTGCTCTTTCTTCATTCTTAAAAATCCAAGTTTCTCTCTGGTATTATTTTTCTTCAGCTGGAATCATTTGTTTTAGCATTTCATATGGAGCAGGTCTGCTTACAATGAATTCTCTTAGTTTTATTTCTTAGGATATTTTCACTGAATATAGAATTCTGAGTTGACAAATTTTTTCTCTCAAAATTTTAAAGATATTTCTTTTTCCTTTTCTTTTTTCTTTTTAGAGACAGGGTCTCACTCTGTTGCCAAGGCTGAAGCGCAGTGGTGCGGTCATAGCTCACTGAAGCCTCAAAT
Organism: Homo sapiens; assembly: GCF_000001405.40. Classification (NCBI taxonomy): domain Eukaryota; kingdom Metazoa; phylum Chordata; class Mammalia; order Primates; family Hominidae; genus Homo; species Homo sapiens. The sequence goes on from NC_000002.12 coordinate 27,591,126, forward strand.
TCCTCAGCTCAAGGGATCCTCTCACTTTAGCCTCCCAAGTAGCTGGGACTATAGTTGCATGGCACCACACCTGGATAATTGCTTTAAAATTTTTTTATTTTTATTTTTGTGGGTACATAGTAAGGATATATATTTATGTGGTACATGAGATGTTTTGATACAGGCATACAATGTGAAATCACATCATGGGGAATGGGATATCCATCCCCTCAAGCATTTATCCTTTGTGTTATAGACAATCCAATTACACTCTTTTAGTTATTTAAAAATGTACAATTAAGTTCTTAAAATTATTATTATTATTATTTTGAGACAGAGTCTCGCTCTGTCACCAGGCTGGAGCACAGTGGTGTATCTTGGCTCACTGCAACCTCCGCCTCCCGGGTTCAAGCATTTCTCCTGCCTCAGCCTCCCGAGTAGCTGGGACTACAGGCGCATGCTACCACGCCCAGCTTTTGTATTTTTAGTAGAGATGGGGTTTCACCATGTTGGCCAGGATGGTCTTGATCTCTTGCCCTTGTGATCTGCCCACCTCGGCCTCCCAAAGTGTCGGGATTACAGGCGCGAGTCACCGCGCCCAGCCTTAAAATTATTTTTTGTAGAGACAAGGTCTTGCTATGTTGCCCAGGCTGGTCTTGAACTCATGGGCTCAGTCCCCCTGCCTTGGCCTCCCAAAGTACTGGGATTACAAATGTGAGCCATTACACTGGTTCGATTTTAAAGATACTGTACTGCCTTGTGGCATTCTTGGTTTCTGTTGAGAAACCCATGGTCATTTAAATCATTTCCTGTAATGTAATATGTCACTTTTCTGAAGCTTTCTAGTTTAAAACAAAATCTTTGGCTTTGAATAGTTTCTTATTTATTTAAACAATTTTTTTGAGACAGAGCCTAACTCCCGTTGCCCAGGCTGGAATGCAGTGGCGCAACCTCTGCTCACTGCAGCCTCATCCTCCTGGGCTCAGGTGATTCTCCCACTTCAGCCTGCTGAGTAGCTGGGACTACAGGTGCACACCACCACACCTGGCTAATTTTTTGTATTTTTAATAGAGGTAGGATTTTGCCATGTTGCCCAGGCTGTTCTTGAATTCCTGGGCTCAAGGGATCTGCCTGCCTCAGCCTCCTAAAGTGCTGGGATTACAGGCTTGAGCCATTGCACCCAGCTTAGTTTTTTTATTTATTTATTTATTTTTATTTTTTTTTTGAGATGGAGTCTCGCTCTGTAGCCCAGGGCAGCTGGAGTGCAGTGGCATGATCTCGGCTCACTGCATCCTCCACCTCCCAGATTCAAGTGATTCTCCTGTCTCAGCCTCCCAAGTAGCTGGGACTACAGGCACCCGCTACCACACCCAGCTAATTTTTGTATTTTAGTAGAGGTGGGGTTTCACAATATTGGCCAGGCTGGTCTCCAACTCCTGACCTCAAGTGATCTGCCTGCCTTGGCCTCCCAAAGTGCTGGGATTACAGGTGTGAGCCACCATGCCTGGCCTAGTTTATTTTTTATTGAGTTAAAGTATACCCATATAATTTACCATGTTTACCTTTTTTTTTTTTTTTTTTTTTTTTTTTTTTGTTTGAGACAGAGTTTCGCTCTTGTTGCCCAGGCTGGAGTGCAAATGGCGCGATCTTGGCTCACCACAACCTCTGCCTCCCAGGTGCAAGCGATTCTTCTGCTTCAGCCTACTGAGTAGCTGGGATTATAGGCATGTGCCACCATGCCCAGCTAATTTTGTATTTTTAGTAGTGACGGGGTTTCTCCATGTTGGTCAAGCTGGTCGTGAACTCCTGACCTCAGGTGATCCACCTGCCTCAGCCTCCCAAAGTGCTGGGATTACAGGCGTGAGCCACCACGCCTGGCTGATACATTTATATTCTTTTTCTTTTTTTCCTCTCTTCACTCCCTCATGTCTCCCCTCCCCTTCCTGGCTGAATAGTTTCGTTAAGATGTGTCTTGGTTGGGTACCGTGGCTCATGCCTGTAATCCCAGCAGTTTGGGAGGCTGAGGTAGGAAGATTGCTTGAGCCCAGGAGTTTGATACCAGCCTGGACAACAAAGTGAGACCCTGTCTCTACACACACACACACACACACACACACACACACACACACACACACACACACAAAAGAATGAGCTGGGTACCGTGGCACACACTTGTGGTCTCAGCTACTCAGGAGGCTGAGGTGGGAGGATTGTTTAAGCCTGGGAGGTGGAGGCTGTGCTTGAGCCACTACACTCCAGCCTGAGTGACAGAGTGAGACCTTGTCTCAAAAAAAAAAAAAAAAAAAGTGCTTTGGACCAGCCTGGGCAACATAGCAAGACCCTGTCTCTATGAAAAAACACAAAAATTTAGTGGGTATGATGGTGTGCACCTGTGGTTCCAGCTACTCGGGTATGGTGAGGTGAGAGGATCACTTGAGCCAGAGAGGTCCAAGCTGCAGTGAGCCATGTGCCACTGCACTCTGGCCTGGAGAACAGAACAAGACTGTGTTTCAAAACAAAACAAAAAGATGTATCTTGGTATGTTTTTCTTTGAGTTATCCTATTTGGTGTTTGTTGAGCTCCTTGAATCTGTAAATTTATATCTGACCAAACGTGGGGGATTTTCCACCTTTTTTTTTTCAAATGTATTTTTCTGCCTTAGTATCTTTCTTTCTTTCTTTTTTTTTTTTTCCATTTAACCCTGAGTTGACACAGCACATGTTTCAGAGAGCACAGGGTTGGGGGTAAGGTTATAGATCAACAGCATCCCAAGGCAGAAGAATTTTTCTTAGTACAGAACAAAATGGAGTCTCCTATGTCTACTTCTTTCTACACAGACACAGTAACAATCTGATCTCTCTTTCTTTTCTCCACATTTCCCCCTTTTCTTTTCGACAAAACCGCCATCATCATCATGGCCCATTCTCAATGGTCACTGTCTCTTCGGAGCTGTTGGGTACACCTGCAGAAAGGCTGTCACTTCACACTTGGAAGATTGCACAGCGGCCAGTCAGAGGTGCTCCTCACTTCCCAGACAGGGTGGCGGCCGGGCAGAGGCGCTCCTCACATCCCAGATGGGGCGGCCAGGCAGAGGCACTCCTCACCTCCCGGACAGGGCGGCCGGGCAGAGGCGCTCCTCACATCCCAGACGGGGTGGTGGCCGGGCAGAGGCACTCCTCAGTTCGCAGACGGGGTGGCAGCCGGGCAGAGGCGCTCCTCACCTCCTAAACGGGGTGGCGGCCGGGCGGAGGCGCTCCTCACCTCCCAGAAGGGGTGGCGGCCGGGCAGAGACGCTCCTCACCTCCCAGACGGGGTGGCGGCTGGGCAGAGACGCTCCTCACCTCCCAGACGGGGTGGCGGCCGGGCAGAGGTGCTCCTCACCTCCCAGACAGGGCGGCCGGGCAGAGGCGCTCCTCACTTCCCAGACAGGGCGGCCGGGCAGAGGCGCTGGTCACATCCCAGATGATGGGCGGCCAGGCAGAGACGCTCCTCACTTCCTAGACGGGGTGGCGGCCGGGCAGAGGCGCTCCTCACTTCCCAGACGGGGCGGCCGGGCAGAGGGTCTCCTCCCATCCCAGATGATGGGCAGCCAGGCAGAGACGCTCCTCACTTCCTAGATGGGGTGGCGGCCGGGCAGAGGCTGTAGTCTTAGCACTTTGGGAGGCCAAGGCAGGCGGCTGGGAGGTGGAGGTTGTAGCGAGCCGAGATCACGCCACTGCACTCCAGCCTGGGCAACATTGAGCATTGAGTGAGCAAGACTCCGTCTGCAATCCCAGCACCTCGGGAGGCGGAGGCGAGCAGATCACTCGAGGTCAGGAGCTGGAGACCAGCCTGGTCAACACGGCGAAACCCCGTCTCCACCAAAAATACAAAAACCAGTCAGGCGTGGCGGCGCGTGCCTGCAATCCCAGGCATTGGGCAGGCCCAGGCAGGAGAATCAGGGGAGCCCGAGGTAGGGAGGTTGTAGCTAGGTGAGATCACGGCAGTATGGTCCAGCCTTGGCAACAGAGGGAGACCGAAGAAGGGAGAGGGAGGAGAGCGGGGAGAGGGAGAGCGAGAGCTGCATTAGTATCTTTCGCCTCTCCCTCTGGGATTACAACTACACTTAAGTTAAAACGTTTGGTATTAGGGTTTTGTTGAATGTTTTTCAATCTTTTTTTCTCTTTGTTCTTCAGACTGGTTTTTTTTCTTTTCTTTTCTTTTTTTTTTTTTTTGAGATGGAGTCTCGCACTGTCGCCCAGGCTGGAGTGCAGTGGTGCGATCTCTGCTCACTGCAGCGGCGCGATCTCTGCTCATTGCAGCCTCCGCCTCCCAGGTTCAAGCGATTCTCCTGCCTCAGCCTGCCGAGTAGCTGAGATTACAGGCACCCACCACCAGGCCTGGCTAATTCTTTTGTATTTTTAGTAGAGACGGGGTTTCACTATGCTGATCAGGCTGGTCTCGAACTCCTGACCTTGTGATCCGCCTGCCTCGGCCTCCCAAAGTGCTGGATTACAGGCGTGAGCCACTGTGCCCGGTGGAGACTGGGTCATTTCTATTGAACGGTCTTCAAGTTCACAGACTCTTTCCTCTGTCATCTCCATTCTATTACTGAACCTATCTGATGAGTTTTTATTTCAGATGTTGTATTTTTCAGTTCTAAGATTTCATTTGGTTCTTTTTTATGGTTTCTTTTTCTGCTGATGATTCCCACCTTTTCCTTCATTTCTTGTGTGTTTTCTTTATAAGAAAGTATTTCTTTTTTGTTGACAGTATTTGATAGTCCCAAAATCTGGATCACCTTGTGGCTGGCATGTTTTGGTCATTTGTTCCTTTGAAAATTGCTCACATTTTCCTGGTTCTTTATGTGTTGCATAATTTTGGAATTTATCCTCATCATTGTGAATACTTTTTGTGTAGATTTTGGGTCCTATTATAATTCTTCTGGGGAATGTTGCCGTTTCTGTTTTAGCAGGCCACCCTGCTTCAGGTTCAGGCCAAAACTTCTGTCTTGCTTTTGGAGGCATTTGTTAAAATCTCGGTTCTGTTCTTTATGTCTTTGCTATGTTGATTTGAGCTGTCCCAAACATGAATAGCTTAGGGGCTGGTCTGAGACTTCTGCAGGTGTTTCCAATCTTATTTCAGTTCTCCAAGCTTTTGCTGCTTTGGTTTGGGTCACATTAGAGTTCAAATCTCATTTTGGTTTTCAAAGTCTTTGCTAGGCTGGTACGTATGGGTATATGCCACACATTCATGGCTAAGGTTAAGTTGTGACTTATTTGGATTCATACATTGAATTAAGAGATTCTTTTTTTTGCCTGTTTTCTCTCTAGCATTCCTCCCACCCCCAGTCCCCCAACTCTGGTCCACAGGGACCTTTTTTCCTGATTTACCTGGTAAGAAAGAAGGGAGTTTCTAGAATTAAAGCTGCCTATGCTGCTCTGCAAGTGGGGTTCATCCTCATTGCAAATTCTTACTTGAGGGAAAAAGACAGAATTGGAAAACTCACCCCATTTGGGGCACTTCTCCCAACTTTGACTCCCCTGCATAATTTACTTGTTTTTGTTTGTTTTACAGAGTCCAGTGAGCAGGAGGGGTGGGCCTTAGTGGGCTTAGCTGCCCCTCCAGAGCCAGGACTTCTGTGTATTAAATTTGTGTTATTGGACCTCATGTGTGGAGAGCCGAAACTCATTCTTCCCTATTTGTAACATACTGACATAACCAGTCTCTGTTATGTTTACTCATCCCCATTTCCATCCCCTCCCTCCTAGAGGAAACTGTATAAACAAGTGTGATGTTTGCACTTAAATATTTATGACTCCTTTAAAAAATAAGCTTTAAAATAAGCTGCTTTATGTGTGGATTTGTTTTTAGCTTGCTGAACTGACATTGTGCTAGAGATACTGTTTTGTTTCTTTTTTCATTCAACAATATACTTTTTAGTTATGGTCGTGTCTCTATGTGTAGAATTAGTTTATTGCTTCTAACAGCAGCACAGTATTCCATAGTAGGCATCTATCACATTTTGCAAGGATGGTCACTGTGTTACTTCCAACTCCCTGATGTCATAAGCAAACCTCTCTATGTGTAATTCTTATTAGCTCTACATCTAAAGTGTTACCTTGAATCTGCCAATTCAAGTTAACTTTTTTCCTTTTGTTTACTCTTTCTCCCATGGGCTGTCTCCATAGAGCAGCCAGAAGGATCTTTCTGAACCATAAATCTAAAGTAGGCCTCACAGGTATTTAGCTGGAAAAGGGAGGTTCTAGGAGTCCATTGACCACTCTTGGAGAACTGCTGCTCTGCTGCATCTTGAGCCACCTAGAAGAATGTCTGATGCTTTGTAGTTACAGAGTAATGTTTTTTAGCTGTCATACTGACTGGTCTTAGATTTTGGAATCTGGATTCAGCTGTATACCAGAAATCTCTGGCCAGGTTAATTCATGCAAGATAGCATCCATCCTTTAGCTGTGGAAGCTAAGTATCATGTTGCCTAAATAAGATAGGGCATCAGGTTTTAGGGAGAATGCTGAGGCAGAAGGAAGATGAGTCAGATTAGGGCCCACAGACTATTCCTTTCCCTTAGAGATACCCTTTAGTTGCCATCCCTCTGTCAGAGAAAGAGAGAGGCTGGGACATACCAGGTTACAAATCCAGGGAGTCTTCTGAAGGGTCATAGAACACCTTTATTGCTTCACCTACTTTCTTTTATTAGATGAATCTAGGAAGGAATGTCTACTTGGGCTGCAAAGTGATCATTTATGTGTACTGCTTACTCTTATTACAATGAAGTGTGATAATAATTGTACATGTTGTGTTAGATCAACTATTGTTATTGTTAGGTGATTACAACTTACATTCTGTTTTTATAGCAGGCTTCTTAGTTTTCTGCAGAGGTAACCAACTTGGTTATAATGTAAAAGAATGTATAGAAATTTTGCTCCAGACCTTCCTTTGTGGTATATATTTTTATGTTGTATTAGTAGCAGGACCCAGTGCTCCATAAAGGATAATAGTTTCCAGTACACTATCCCTCATGATGACTCCTTAAGTGGTTCATCGTCTGCATCTTCGTGTGAACCAGTGAGTGATTTTCCAGCATCTTTCCGAAAATCTACCTACTGGATGAAGATGAGAAGAATCAAGCCAGCTGCTACTTCTCATGTCGAAGGTATCAATATCAGTGTCTTATTCTGAAGACGGGCCACTTCCTAAAGTTATAGTTTGAGATTGTTATAAATACCTCTTAAAAGTATTAAATGGCGGCTGAGCGTGGTGGCTCACGCCTGTAATCCCAGCACTTTGGGAGGTCGAGGCGGGCGGATCACAAGGTCAGGAGATCGAGACCATCCTGGCTAACATGGTGAAACCCCGTCTCTACTAAAAATACAAAAAATTAGCGGGGCCTGGTGGTGGGCGCCTGTAGTCCCAGCTACTCAGGAGGCTGAGGCAGGAGAATGGCATGAACCTGGGAGGCAGAGGTTGCACTGAGCAGAGATCGCACCATTGCACTGTAGCCTGGGCGAAAGAGCGAGACTCCGTCTCAAAAAAAAAAAAAAAAGAGTATGAAATGCCACATATTTGTTTCTCATTAGTGATTTAAAAAAATTTAAGGTGTTAGGCAATTGCATCCTGTCCCATTAGCTTCATGAACTGCTATGTGATAGAGTGAAATTCTGCTAATCTTACTCCTCTAGATTATATTTAGCATTTGATTTTCCTCTTTGTAGTATTTGAATTCCCCTTTTCTTCTTCTTTTTTTTTTGAGACGGAGTTTCACTCTTCTTGCCCAGACTAGAGTGCAATGACTCGAGCTCAGGCTCACCGCACCCTCCTTCTCCTGGGTTCAAGCGATTCTCCTGCCTCAGCTTGTAATGCCAGCTGAGTAGCTGGGATTACAGGCATGTGCCACCACACCTGGCTAATTTTGTATTTTTAGCAGAGACGGGGTTTCTCCATGTTGGTCAGGCTGGTCTTGAACTCCTGACCTCAGGTAATCCGCCCACTTTGGCCAAAGTCTGTAATCTCAAAGTGCTGGGATTACAGATGTGAGTCACCATGGCTGGCCCCCCTTTTCTTCTAGTGTGATCCTCTGTTGATGATTTAGGGGCTGGTGTAAGGATTATTCAGGGGAGAATATTCTGGATCGTCACAATCTCAAGGGTCCTTGGTGGCTAGCCCTCTATCTTGAGCAATTCTTATCCTCTTGTTAGCCTCAAGTCAAGATTAAGCAAAACACATTGCTTGAATGCCCTTATTATTCATAAGGAACAATGGATGATTTGGAATAGATAACAATATAAAAAGAAAGGGAGAGTGGGTCAGTTAATGAGAAGTTACACCAACTTCTCTAAAAATGTCACAGACATTTCTCTGAGGCCTGTGTTCACTGATGATCTTTCCTTTTGATGGTCTTGTGAATGATGTTTTGAAGACAGGCCTAGATGTTCATTTACAAAGTGTGCTGAGTTTTTGTTTTGTTTTTGTATGGTACTTCAGGGTCAGGTGGAGTATCAGCCAAGGGGAAAAGGAAACCCAGGCAGGAAGAAGATGAAGACTATCGAGAATTTCCTCAGAAGAAGCATAAGCTTTATGGTAAGGCAGTAACTTTGCTACTTCTTTTTCCTTGGGTGACTGAGCTTTATTCTTTGAGGGTAAAGGAAAGAGAAGCCTTAGTTTGAGCCCTTCAGTGACCTCTGAGCCCTTTGAATTGTTTGGGAGGGAATGGCCTCCATCCTGCCTCATTATACCCTTTCATTCTGTCCTGACTTAGGCAGTCAGTCGGTTGAGGGACTGGGAAATAGGGTGTTGAAGAGGAGGAGAGGGAAGAGATTTTGGTATTAGCAAGGGTGACATGCTGGGCTTCAAGTTTCTGTCTTATGTCAGGGAGGAAGCAACGGCCTAAAACTCAGCCCAATCCCAAATCCCAGGCCCGTCGTATTCGGAAGGAACCACCAGTTTATGCAGCAGGTATGTTTTCTTTTGGAAGTTTTGAGGGATGTAGTTCTCACACTCTGATTTGTTGTTGGTGTTGTCTGTGAAGGAATGAGGTACTAAAGCATTTCTTTAAGGAGGCAGTTACTAAGGGCTCTAGTTTGGAGTCAGACAGACCTTTGCTCAAGTTTTGGCTCTTCATTAACTTTGTGACCTGCCTCAATTTATTTAACTTCCTCTTGCCTCAGTTTCCCTGTCTATGAATAGGGGTAATAAAGGCAGTTAGAATTATTTTGAAAATTAAATGGATAAAAACATTTAGCATAGTCTCAGGCACATAAGAATCACTCAGCAGACAGGCTGTGACGTTTCTCAGTATCCTATTGTTACATCCTGTGGTGAAAAATGTTGCTGCCTAATTCTTGAAGCAACTGGGCTTTGGAGCCGTTCTCAGGTGGTTTTTATCATGGCGAAATGAGTAGGAGTTTTCAGAAACTCTTCACTGTCTAAAAAATACTACTTTTAGAAGTTATACCCAGCAAGAGCCTCTTCATCGCAGTCTACCAGGAAAAGGAAAAACCATTTTATGATACTTTTCCTAAATCGTGGGATTATGCTTTTTGTTTCTGGAGAATACTGCAGATTACAAAGTGTTTCTTTCTCTCCTTTGTAGGCAGTTTGGAGGAGCAATGGTACTTAGAAATCGTTGATAAAGGCAGTGTCTCCTGCCCTACCTGCCAGGCAGTGGGGAGGAAGACCATAGAGGGTTTAAAGAAACACATGGAAAACTGCAAGCAGGTTAGATATTTTGGCGTTTCATAACTGTTACGATATTTTTACCCAAACTTTAGACTTCTTTTGCTATGTTGGATATGCTGGTTATAATGGATGAAAAGCAGCATTGTATAATAAAGGAAACATAGGCTTTGGATCTGACAGAGTTAGGTTTGAATCTTCTCTTAGCCACATACTAGTGTGGCATTTAGCTTTTTATATGTAGACCTCAGTTTCATTTGTAAAATAGAGAAAAAATAATAAATACAAAATAATAAAAACCTTATGTAGTCCATGAGAGGATAAGAAAGAAGTAACGCAGGGCTAAATGCCTAGCCCATTACTTGGCAAATATTTGGTTAATGGTAATTCTTATTATTTTAAAAGTGAATTGCCTTTATTTTGCCCTTGAAGACATGACACTGAGTTTCTGGGATTTTGAGATTTATTGACTATTGAGCTTGAGAAATAAAGGAGACATAGATGAAAGCATTTGAGTCGGACTTCATGACATTCTGTTTCTCTGTGGAACAACCTAGCACTGAGCAGTATTTTTCCTTCTAGGAAATGTTTACTTGTCATCATTGTGGGAAACAACTTCGTTCACTGGCAGGGATGAAGTATCATGTCATGGCAAATCATAATAGTTTGGTAAGAGTGTCTTCTGTCTTTTGTGAGTGTTTGGATGTCTTTTTTTTTTTGAGATGGAGTCTCACTCTGTTGCCCAGGCTGGAGTGCAGTGGCACGATCTCGGCTTACTGCAACCTCCACCTCCTGGTTCAAGCGATTCTCGTGTCTCAGCCCCTTGAGTGGTTAGGACTACAGGCGTGCGCCACCACGCCTGGCTAATTTTTTTTGTTTTGTTTTGTTTTTTGAGACGGAGTTTCACTCTTGTTGCCCAGGCTGGAGTGCAGCAGTGCAAACTTGGCTCACCGCAACCTCCGCCTCCTGGGTTCAAGCGATTGTCCTGCCTCAGCCTCCCGAGTAGGTGGGATTACAGGCATGCACCACCACACCTGGCTGATTTTGTATTTTTAGTAGAGATGGCAGTTTCTCCATGTTGGTCAGGCTGGTCTCGATCTCCCAACCTCAGGTGATCTTCCCGTCTTGGCCTCCTAAAGTGCTGGGATTATAGGCGTGAGCCATCGCGCCCAGAAATTTTTTGTATTTTTAGTAGAGACTGAGTTTCACCATGTTGGCCAGGCTGGTCTCGAACTCCTGACCTCAGGTGATCCACCCTCCTTGGCCTGCCGAAGTGCTGGGATTACAGGCGTGAGCCACTGCGCCCGGCCTGGATGTCTTTTACTTATGTGAGTGTAGATATCTCAGTGCAGATGGCTTTGGGATTTTATAAGGGTGTTAGCAAGAAGACCGTTTTGATAAAAGAGTTATGCACAATGAAACCTTTGCAGTGAATCCATAAATATTTGTGTGTTTAGGTTAGCTCCAAAGGTTCATATCTTGGGAGTCAGAGGCTCAGAACTCTTATTTCCATTATATTCACTTCCTTTGTCCAGGAGAAGATGGAGAACACCAGGAGTCAGAAAACTTGGGCTTCATTGGCACCAGCTTAGCTGCCAGTCCAATCCTTGATTCTCCTCTGATATTTTTTTTCCCTGTGTCTTATCTTTTCCATGAATCATCTTCTTGTTTACTTCTCTTGATTTCTAGCCCATTTTGAAAGCCGGAGATGAAATAGATGAGCCAAGTGAGAGGGAAAGGCTCCGAACAGTTCTAAAGAGACTGGGAAAGCTCAGGTGCATGCGTGAGGTAAGGGCCCAAGGACAGCAATTCCTTCTGCCTGAATTCTCAGGTCAATGTCTTTCGTTCTTCTTTCCATTTCTTCTCTTCCTCATTGTAGACTTCCTAGTTCTGTACTATCTTGGTCTCTTGAATCATTAATAGTTGTTTATTTTCTTCCTTATTTCCAAAAATTTATTTTTCTCCCCCTTCCCTTTGTTTGATGGGGTTTCCTTACCATCCTTTTTTTAATGTGATGAAGAGGATCCCAGTGACCCCTCACTGTGCTGGACTTTGGTATATATTGCTGGGTATTTGATATTGGGATGGGGTTGGATCACAGACCAAGGAGAAAGCTCTGACATAGAGTAGATGCACAGTTATAGTTTATCAAGGGCTGACTAAGCTGATTGAAAATCATGCTTGATCAGAGTAAGATGGCCAGAGACAAGGAAGGGTTGTGCTGATGGGAGATGTTGGAGAGGGTCTACTGAAATCAGAGGGTCTATTTGTATTTTGTGGTGGTGAATGCTTTATGGCTGTTTAGAAATTTAGGGATCATGTCAAAAGATGTAAGATTATAGTTTAGGCTTCTCTCCTCTGTTCAGAGTTGCTCCAGTAGCTTCACCAGCATCATGGGATATCTCTACCATGTCAGAAAATGTGGCAAAGGGGCTGCAGAGCTGGAAAAGATGACCCTGAAATGTCACCACTGTGGAAAACCATATAGGTCGAAGGCTGGACTTGCATATCACCTGAGGTCAGAGCATGGGCCTGTGAGTACTGATTCCTTTCTATACCCTGCGTGGGGATGTATTTCGTGGTGAGTCCTTACCCCTCTATCTTCCCATATGTGTTTGGTTCCTCATTTGTATCCTCTTTTAATCTCTGAATGCTTGTGTGTTGTCTCTTCTTTATTCGTTCTTTGTCCTTATTTCTGCCTTTTTAACATTATTAGGTTAGATAAATCAAAATTCAAAGTATAGTCCAGGCAGAAGTAAACTCATTATTATATATTTTATATCTTATATATTTTTATATAGTGTGTGTGTGTGTATATTTTTTTTTTTTTTTTTCTTCAAGAGACAAGATCTTGCTGTCTCAGGCTAGAGTGCAGTGGTGGGATCATAGCTCACTGCAGCCTCGAACTCTTGGGCTCAAGCCATCTTCTTGCCTCAGGCTCCTAAGTAGCCAGGACTACAGGCTTGCGTCACATGCCCAGCTAATTCTTCGTTTTTAATTTTTTGTAGAGACGGGGGTCTCATTATGTAGCACAGGCCAGTCGCAAACTCCTGGCCTCAAGTGATCCTCTTACCTTGACCTCCCAAAGTGCTGGGATTATAGGTGCGAGCCACCCTGCTCAGCCCATTATTTAATTAATTAATTAATTAATTTATGTATTTATATATTTTTGAGACAGACTTTCCCTCTGTTGCCCAGGCTGGAGTGCTGTAGAGCAATCTTGGCTCACTGTGACCTCCGCCTCCTGGGTTCAAGCAATTCTCCTACTTCAGCTTCCCGAGTAGCTGGGATTACAGGTGCGTGCCACCACGCCCAGCTAATTTTTGTATTTTTATTAGAGACGGGGTTTCACCATGTTGGCCAGGCTGGTCTCGAACTCCCGATCTCAGGTGATCTGCCCACCTCGGCCTCCCAAAGTGCTGGGATTATAGGCGTGAGCCACTGTGCCCAGCCCCATTGTTATACTTTTAAAACTAAAGGCATTCCCCCATAGCTAGAGCTTTTATGGGCATCTGTCCAGCTGGTTCCTCTCATTTTTTTGGTTTAAATTTTTTTGTTCTCATTACATTTCCAAGGTTTCCCACCCTGTGGTTTCTTTTTTTTTAGAGTCATTTGTTAAGATACAATTTACACATAGTAATGTTTACCATTTTAGTGCATAATTATAAGAGTTTTGACACATGTATACAGTCATGTAACCACTATCACACTCAACACATAGACTAGGCGGGGTGCCTTAGCTCACACCTGTAATCCCAGCACTTTGGGAAGCTGAGGTGGGTGGATTGCCTGAGTCCAGGAGTTTGAGACTAGGTTGGGCTACATAGTGAGACCCTGTCTCTACAAAAAATGAAAAAATAAGCCAGGCATGGTGGTGTACACCTGTAGTCCCAAGTACTTGGGAAACTGAGGTGGGAGGATCACTTGAGCCCAGAAGGTTGAGGCTGCAGAGCTGTGATCATACCACTGCATTCCAGCCTGGGTGACAGAGTGAGACTCTGTCTCAAAACAAACAAAAAAAAGATGTTTTACAATTCCATCACTACCTCAAGTTGACTTGTGTCCCTTTAGTCAGCCTTTTCCTCCAGCTACAGCCTCTGGCAACCACTGATTTATTTTCTGACCCTATAGTTTTACCCTTTTCAGAATGTCATATAAATTGAATCATACAGCATGTAGCCTTTCAGTCTGACTTCTTTCATTTACCATAATCCATTTGTGATTCATCCATGTGTTGCATGTATCATTAGTTTATTCCTTTTTTTTTCTGACTAGGATTTCATTATATGGATGTTTCAAGTTTGTCGTTTATCTGCTTACCAGTTGAAGAACATTTGGTTGTTTCTAGTTTTTGATGATTACGAATAAAGCTGCTATAAACATTCACAAAGGTTTTTGGGCTGGGCACAATGACTCATGCCTGTAATCCCAGCACTTTGGGAGGCTGATGCAGGTGGATTGCTTGAGCTCAGGAGTTCGAGACCAGCTGGGCAACATGGTGAAACCCCATCTCTACAGAAAATACAAAAATTAGCTGGGTGTGGGTGGTGCACGCCTGTAGTCCCAGCTACTTGGGAGGTTGAGGCGGGAGGATGGTTTGAGCCCAGGAGGCGGAGATTGCAGTGAGCCGAGATGGTGCCACTGCACTCCAGCCTGGGTGACAGAGCAAGACCCTGACTCAAAAACAAAAAATGAAAAGATTGTTGTGTTTTGTTTTTTTGAAACAGGGTCTTGCTCTTTTGCCCAGGCTGGAGTGCAGTGGCGCCACCTTGGCTCACTGCTACCTCTGCCTCCCGGGCTCAAGCCATCCTCCCACCTCAGCCTCCCAAGTAGCTGGGATTATAGGCGAGTGCCACCTCACCCAGCTAATTTTTGTATTTATAGTAGAGATGGGTGTTCGCCATGTTGGCCAGGCTGATCTTGAACTCCTGGGCTAAAGTGATCTGCCTGCTTTGGCCTCCCAGAATGCTGGGATTACAGGCATGAGCCACTGCACCTGGCAAAAAAGGTTTTTATGTGAAAATAAATTTTAATTTCCCTTGGGTAAATACTTAGGAATGAGATTTCTGGGTCATATGATTAATGTATATTTAACTTCATAAGAAACTGCTGCATTGTTTCCTAAAGTGGCTGTGCCATTTTGCATTCCCCCAGCGAAGTATGAGCACTCCAGTTGCTTTGCATCCTTGTCTACATTTATTATTATCAATTTTATTTTTTGATCCATTCTAATAGGTACGTAGTAGTACTTAACTGTGGTTTAAATTTTCATTTCCCTAATGACTAACGATGCTTAATCTTGTTGACCATCTTTGCATGTGCTTACACCATGGTGATTTGTATGTCTTTAATGAAGTGTCTGTTCAAATCCTTTGTTCATTTTGAGGGGAAGATTTTTGTTGTCTTATTAAGTTTGGGATATATTCTGGGTTTTTTTATCATTCCGGATACAAGTTCTTTATCTTTTTTTTAACATTGTCTTTTGAAGAACAGAGTTTTAAATTTTGATATAGTTTATGTATTTTTTCATTTATGGATAATGCTTTTTTATATCTAAGAAATCTTTGCTTAACTCAATGTATAATTTTCTTTCTTTTTTTTTTTCTTGAGACAGAGTCTCACTCTGTTGCCCAGGCTGGAGTGCAGTGGTGCGATCTTGGCTCACTGCAACCTCCGCCTCCTGGGCTCAAGTGATTCTCCTGCCTCAGCCTCCTAAGTAGCTGGATTACAGGTGCCCGCCACCGTGCCTGGCTAATTTTTGTATTTTTAGTGAGATGGGGTTTCACCATGTTGGCCAGGCTGGTCTTGAACTCCTGACCTCAGGTTATCCGCCTGCCTCAGCCTCCCAAAGTTCTGGGATTACAGGCATGAGCCACTGTGCCTGGCCCTCAGTGTATAATTTTCTGTTGCTACTGTGAATCACCACAAACTGAATGGCTTAAAACAACACACATTTATTATCTCACAGTTCTTTAGGTCAGAAATCCAGTTACAGGATGCTTCATCTGGTTCCTCTGCTTAGAGTCTCACCAGGCTGGAATCTGTGTCGGTAGGGCTGTTCTTTTTTAGAGGCTCTAGTGAGAGAACATGTTTCTAGACTCATTCAGATTGTTCAAGAATTCAGTTCCGTGCAGTTGCAGGAGTTCCTTTCCTTATTTGCTGTGGGCTAAGAATTCTCCCTTTCCAAAGGCCACCTGCATTCCCTGGCTCATGGCTGTCTTCAAGTCAGAGACAGCAGGTTGGATGTCTCTCATGCTTTGAATCTCTCCTGCCTCTTCTTCTGCTGGATCTGTCTTACTTAAAGTCAACTGATTATAGACTTTTATCACATTTACAAAATACCTTCACATCAATACACTTAGATTTATGTTTGATTGACTAACTGATGACTGTATCCCAGCCAACTTGACACATCAAAAAACCGTCATACACAGGATCACACGCATTTTCTCCCTTGCTGTCTTCTAGAAGTTTTATAGTTTTATGTTTTACATTTAGGGCTATGGTCCATTTTGAGTTAATTTTTATATATAGTGTGAGGGATGGGTTAAGATTTGTCTCTTTGTATACGAATGTGTCTTTTAACCACTAAGAGGCCTTTTTTTTTTTTTGAGACAGAGTTTCACTTTTATCACCCAGGCTGGAATGTAGTGGCGCAATCTTCACTCACTGCAGCCTCCACCTCCCTGGTTCAAGCGATTCTTCTGTCTCAGCCTCCCGAGTAGCTGGGACTACAGGCGTGTGCCACCATGCCAAGCTAATTTTTATGTTTTTAGTAGAGACAGGGTTTCACCATGTTAGCCAGGCTGGTCTCCAACTCCTGACCTCAGGTGATCCACCCGCCTTGGTCTCCCAAAGTGCTGGGATTACAAGAGTGAGCTACCACGCCTGGCCCTAAGAAGCTTTTTTTACCAGTAAAATATACATTAATATGGTGGAACTTGATGCTAGTGGTTAGCAATCTACTACATAGCTCTTTTGATATTTAGAGCAGGAAGCTCAGCCTTTAATCACTGGCTGTGATGGATGCCACTTATCAGGCCTGTGTTTTGCTGTGTCTCATTCTTGCAGATATCCTTCTTTCCAGAGTCAGGACAGCCAGAGTGCTTAAAGGAGATGAACCTAGAGTCAAAGAGTGGGGGCCGAGTTCAGAGACGTTCTGCCAAGATAGCTGTATACCACCTACAGGAGCTGGCCTCTGCTGAACTGGCCAAGGAATGGCCCAAGAGGAAGGTGCTTCAGGACCTGGTACCTGATGATCGAAAGGTAAGGCAGAAACATGTATCAATTTGGGAACCATTATGTCTAACGTTGTGCCTACTGTACACAGAGAAGTAAATGCACTTGAGGAAGTACGTGATAGGCAGTATTTTGTTTGTTTATCTTTGGAGATAGAGTACATCTGATCTAGCTTCGGTGTTTGGATTCAGTTAGGTTCTAGAGTGACAGTCTGTTTCATAAGTTCCTTAAAGAGCCCTCTTAATTCTGGACTACTTCCAGAGGGAACCTGAATTCTTAGATTAGATATTTGTGTAATGTGTTTTTGTTTTGCTAGGTCATATGTAGTAGTTTATATTTAGTTGAGATAAATGGTTTCAGTTTGTTTTGTAGTAACAGAACTCCTCTCCCCCGCTTTTTTCAAAATAAAATCCTATGCAAAACACCAGTATATAAAATAACTTAAAAACAGATTTGCTTTGAGTAGCTGTGAGTAGTGAGCCCAAAGCCTTGTCTACTTGGCCTTCTTCTTCTTGATACTTTTATTGTTCCCCTACACGGCCCCAAGCATACTTCTGAGGGGTGCAGAACCTGTTTGGAAGCCCTTGGATCTATTAGAATCTATTAGAATAGATCATAGAAGAAGGGGCCTTATTTAGCCAAAAGAAGACAAGGATATATGACTATCGGATAGTCTTGGGAACAGGTTGAAGGGATACATAATAAGAAGTAAGAGAGGAGCAAAGGGTCTCTTATTCTCCAGGGTATCAAGAAGTTCACATTTGGCATAGGGCTCTGACATATGTGAGAGGAATGTTATGTCTTATAAGAAAATAAGGCTGGGTACAGTGGCTCAAGGCTGTAATCCCAGTACTTTGGGAGGCTGAGGTGGGTGTATCATGAGGTCAAGAGATCGAGACCATCCTGGCCAACATGGTGAAACCCCCTCTCTACTAAAAATACAAAAATTAGCCTGGTGTGGTGGCAGGTGCCTGTAATCCCAGCTACTCAGGAGGCTGAGGCAGGAGAATCGCTTGAACCCGGGAGGTGGAGGTTGCAGTGAGCCAAGATTGGACCACTGCACTCCAGCCTGGGTGACAGAGTGAGACTCTGTCTCCAAAAAAAAAAAAAAGGAAAAGAAAAGAAAAGAAGGTCAAACCCTAGTTTCTAACACTTATGTCTTTTTTGGTCTAAAAATTAGTCCAGAGTGGTAGGTGTGCACTCCTGGTGGACACTACTGGTGTCCAAGGAGTTGGATTGTATTTTTGAATATTAGAGTATACTTTCTTGTTTTGGACTTATTTCTACATTTTTTTTGCCTGCTACAGGCTAAAGTACATGGCTATCTAAATCCAATTTAAATGTGGGTTTTGCACAGTGATATTTATCTCATGATATTACAGTCAGGTTTCAGTACGCATAGGATATCATAAGGAAATTTAAATATTTGTTAACTGGCTGGGCCCAGTGGCTCACGCCTGTAATCCCAGCACTTTGGGAGGCTGAGGTGGGTGAAACACGAGGTCAGGAGTTCGAGACCAGCCTGGTCAACATGATGAAACCCCGTCTCTACTAAAAATATTTTTAAAATTAGTGGCTGGGCACAGTGGCTCACACCTGTAATCCCAGCAATTTAGGAGGCCGTGGTGGGCCGATCATCTGAGGTCAGCAGTTTGAGAACAGCCTGGCTAACATGGTGATACCCCTTCTCTATTAAAAATACAAAAATTAGCTGGACGTGGAGGCGAGTGCCCGTAATCCCAGCTGCTTGGGAGGCTGAGGCAGAAGAATCGCTTGAACCTGGGAAGCAGAGATTGCAGTGAGCCAAGATCGTGCCATTGCACTCCAGCCTGGGCAACAAGAGCAGAAATCTGTCTCAAAAAAAAAAAAAAATTAGCCAGGTGGGACACATGTGTAGTCCCAGCTATAGTCTCAGGTACTGGGGAGGCTGAGGCAGGAGAATCGTTTGAAACTGAGAGGCGGAGGTTGCAGTGAGCCAAGATCATGCCACTGCAATCTAGCCTGGGCCACAGAGCAAGACTTCATCTCAAAAAAATAATAATAAAAATAAATAAATAAATAAATATTTGTTGCCGGGCGTGGTGGCTCACGCCTGTAATCATAGCACTTTGGGAGTCCAAGGTGGGCGGATCACGAGGTCAGGAGATTGAGACCATCCTGGCTACCACAGTGAAACCCCATCTCTACTAAAAATACAAAAAATTAGCTGGGCATGGTGGTGCTTGCCTGTACTCTAAGCTACTTGGGAGGCTGAGGCAGGAGATTCACTTGAACCCGGGGGGCAGAGGTTGCAGTGAGCCGAGATTGTGCCACTGCACTCCAGCCTGGGTGACAGAGCAAGACTCCGTATCAAAAAAAAAAAAAATAAATAAATAAATATTTGTTAACTCATTGATAAAGTTGGGTATTCTCATCTAGCAGAGGCTTTCCTAAAATCATCAAATAGGTTATATATGTGTATATGTGTATATATATATATGTGTATATGTGTATATATATGTGTGTATATGTGTGTGTATATATATGTGTGTGTATATATATATATATATATATATATTTTTTTTTTTTTTTTTTTTTTTTTTTTTTTTGAGACAGCGTCTAGCTCTGTCACCCAGGCTGGAGTGCTGGCGTGATCTCGGTTCACTGCATCCTCTGCCTCCCAGGTTCAAGTGATTCTCATGCCTCAGCCTCCCAAGTAGCTGGGATTACGGGCACATACAACCATGCCTGGCTAATTTTTTGTAGAGATGGGTTTTGCCATGTTGCCCAGGCTGGTCTCAAACTCCTGAGCTCAGGCAATTCGCCTGCCTCGGCCTCCTGAAGTGCTAGGATTACAGGCGTGAGCTACTGTGCGTGGCCTGGTTTATATTTTCGACAGCGTATAGATAAAAGGCATTATTCTTTCTTAAATATAAAAATTTAATCTTTTTGAGTAGATAACATATTCTTCAAATGGTTCAAAAACTCAAAATGATGCTAAACCTTGAATTAGCCCACTCCCACCTTGTCCTTGTTCTGTCCTGTCCCCATGGTTAACCATTCTTATTAGCTTCTTGTGCATCTTTCCACTGTTTCTTGATGTACATATAAGCAATGTATATTCTTTCTTAAAAACTTTTAATTTTGAAATAATTTTAGACTAGTTAGCAGAGTTTCCAAATGCTCTTCACCTAGCTTCTCCTAATGCCAACATCTTACATAACCATATCTTAGGATATTATCAGGATACCACATTTTATTTCATTTCTGTGGCTCCTTAGTCTCTTCCAATCTGTTATAGTTCCCCTGGCTTTGTCTTTTGTGTCCTTGATGCTGTTGAAGAGAACTGGCTGGTTATTTTGTAGAATGTTCCCCAGTGTGGATTTGCATGATACTTTCTCAAGATTAGGTTGAGAGTATCATGACTCTCAGTGGTATTCTTGGCAAGAATACCACTGAAGCATGTTGGCCCTTCTCCATGTATCATATCAAAAGGTATATGATGTTGATATGTCTCTTACTGATGATGATAATTTTGATCAGTTGCTTAGGGTGTGTTTTCTAAGTATCTCAATGGCAAAACTATAATCTTCCCATTTGTAATTAGTGGATATTTTGTGGGGAGATGGAATATGCACATATCCTGTTTCTTATCATACTGTTGCCTTCTTAGATTAGCATCCATTGACAATATTTGCCAGTAGCATTTTTTTTTTTTTTTTTGGAGACGGAGTCTCACTCTGTCACCCAGGCTGGAGTGCATTGGCGTGGTCTCGGCCCATTGCAACCTCCGCCTCCCGGGTTCAAGCAATTCTTCTGCCTCAGCTTCCTGAGTAGCTGGGACTACAGGTGTGCACCACCACGCCCGGCTAATTTTTGTAGTTATGGTAGAGACGGGGTTTCACCATATTGGCCAGGCTGGTCTCGAACTCCTGATCTTGTGATCCACCCCCTAGAGTGCTGGGATTACAGGCATGAACCACCGTGCGTGGCCGCCTGTAACAGTTATGCCTGTGATGTTTACATAATGATTTTCAGTTTCCATCGTTTTTTCTATAATTATTGATTAGAACTCTACTGTGAAAAGATCTGTTGTTTTTCTCTATTTGTATAAGTAAAGACTCAATGATGTTTATTTTATTCCATGGGTTATAATCCAATGCTATTATTATTTATTTTGCTGCTCAATGTGTCCTGGATTTGGCAGTTGAGCGCTCTTTCAAGTGGGCTCCTGTGTCTTTTTGACATCCCCTATCCTTTTTTGAGAAGATTTTTTACTTTATGACATGATAAGACAGGCCGTAGGCTTATCTTCCATTTTTCCTGCCCCAGCCCTGGAATCAACCATTTCTCTAAGGAATCCTGGTTCCTTTTATTAAAGAATATATTTAGAAGTGAACATTTAAGTGCTAGTTCTACTGGAGTGTCATTGTTTCTGTGCCTTCTTGGTGGATAGAGTTAGGATATAAAGGCATGTATAGTCATACATGCACACATACACATCCATATTTATTTTATGGCTGTCTATCTGTATGTATATTAAAAGCCATGAGACCTTCATTTCCAATCCAACACCACAAGTTTCCTTCTAGCCTTCCTTTTTCCTTATTTGTAACTTCTTTCTCCAACAGTGAGAAACGTGGTTCTGATTATCCACAGTATATTTACTTATTTACTCAATTCTAGTAGTATATAAAATAGTTTCAGAATTACCAACTTATTCCCTTGTAAAAAACAAATTTTCTGTATTTGCGTATACTTCTTTTCATCTTGAGCCTTACAGTATGTAGTGAAAATAGTATTTTCCAAAGTTACTGAGGTTAGTTTTTTCTTCCCTGCCCCCATCATTGTGTCATTTATTTGTAATAGGTTCATGTGTTATTTTTATTAAGTTTTGGGTTTCCCCTACATCCTATTTAATGTAACTATTCATTTATTTTGGGAGTATATGAAACTACCATGGTTCTAAATCAGACCTATTCAAAGAGATATGTTCTGAGTCACTACTCCTCATCCCAACTATTCCATTCCCATTCCCCTTTTCTTTCTACTGTGTTCCCACTTACCTCCAAAGATAACCAAACTCATTCGTTTTTAGTTTATCCTTCCTGTATTTTTATGTGATGGATCATCAGATACATGTATATTTTCTTATATCCCCTTCTTTCTTACTACAGATAATTTTTTTGATACTCTGCTTTATTTCACTTAATAATATAGTTGTGGCCGGGTGTAGTGGCTCACACCTGTAATCCCAGCACTTTGGGAGGCCGAGGCAGGCAGATCATGAGGTCAAGAGATTAAGACCATCCTGGCCAACATGGTGAAACCCTGTCTCTACTAAAAATACAAAAATTAGCTGGGCATGGTGGCGCACACCTGTAGTCCTAGCTACTTGGGAGGCTGAGACAGGAGAATAGCTTGAACCTGGAAGGCGGAGGTTGCATTGAGCCAAGATAGCACCACTGGACTCCAGCCTGGGCAACAGAGCGAGACTCCATCTCAAAAAAAAAAAAAAATTTATATATATATACAGTTGTCCCTCAGTACATGTGGGGCATTTGTTCCAGGACCTCTGTGAATACCCAAATTTGTGCATACTTAAGTTCCGCAGTCAGCCCTGCCAAGGCTGTGTATATGAAAAGTGGTCTTCTGTATAGATGGGTTTTGTGTACTGAGAATACAGTATGCTTGATCCTTGTTTGGTTGAAAAAATCCACATATAAGTGGACCTGCACAGTTCAAACTCATGTTGTTCAAGGGTCAACTGTGTAACCTGGAAATTACTCCACATGTGTTCATAGAAATCATCCTCATCTTTTTTATAGCTGGATAGTACTTCATTTACATAAATGTGATAGTTTATTACTATTACTAATATGATAGTTTATTACTATCATATTTATGATAGTAAATATGTATCATATATGATACATTTATAATTATATTTATATAAACTATGTACTATGGAGCTGTAAAAAAGATTTTAGATAGGCCCATTTACACTAGCTTCAGAGGAGACTAAATGCTTATAAATAAAGCCACTTCTGTACTCTATAAAAGTATTGTGTACCCTATTCTTTTATAGATTTACCAGAGGTTCTTCGGGCTACCTTCCTTACTTCCTCCATTACCTTTATGGGCTTTGGGTGTGTTTTTTTGTCGCAGAGAATCAGCTTCTTTTCAGATACTTCCATTGTCAAAGCAGAAAGATTGTTTACTCACCAGAAATATAGCTATTTACCCATGGTGGACTTTGCAAGAACTGTCTGTGCAGGTTGCTCTCTCCTCTCTGGAAACTCTAGTTGTAGTTGTAAGGAGAGATCAACTCATGTCAAAGCCTGTAAAAAGAAGTGCTAGAAATAATTCTACTTTTGAAGTATAAGCAGATATTATGTATTCTATTCCGTGATTTCTCTCACATCCCTGTTTTATGTTGAACCTTAATTTTTTTGTTTTAGAATTTTAAAAATACCAAAATTACCATGTTATAATTGAAGAAAAATTAGAAATGCAGATAAATAGGAAAAAATATTAAAATGATTCAAAATCCTACCAGAGATGTAGTCCCAGCTACTCAGGAGGCTGAGGCAGGAGAATGGCGTGAACCCAGGAGGCGGAGCTTGCAGTGAGCCGAGATCGTGCCACTGCACTCCAGCCTGGGCGACAGAGCAAGACTCCATCTCAAAAAAAAAAAAAAAAAATTCAACCAGAGAATACCACTGTTAATATTTTGATTTATACACTTCTAACCTTTTACTCATCTACATTTATTTCTATGACTGAGTACACGAATGCGAATTTGTATCCCTCTCTTTTTTTTTTAAATTTATTTTTTTCTTTCCTAATCATTAGAACCTATGAATCTTTCTTTTTTAACACATATTTTAATTCTATGTAGTACTCTGTAGCTTTTTTTTCTTTTTAAACTGTAGGTGAAGTATTATATCTGAGTCTCTTGTCCTCTGTTAAAAATCAAACTTTTCTAAGACAAACAATAGACCATTACACTTATCAGTTTCAGGTACTTTATAGGGTCTTATATCTTACAGTTTTTTTGTGTACAAGAGTATAGATTTCAGAATTATATAACCTAAAGAGTTGGGTGTGAAACTTTTGGGATATTTTGGTTGGGAGTTGTATTTATCTAATGTTTCTGGTTGTCTTGTCTTGTAGTTAAAATATACTCGTCCAGGGCTCCCTACCTTCAGCCAGGAAGTACTACATAAATGGAAGACAGATATCAAGAAATATCATCGTATTCAGTGTCCTAACCAGGTGGTTCTTTCTCATTCATTTATTCAGTAAATGTTTATCAAGCATCTGCTCTTGCTTCTGTTATTTATTCCTTCATGACAAAGTACCTGAACCTCAGTGGCTTAAAACAATTATTTTATTTGTTCACAATTCCATAGAGCAATAATTCTGTAAAGGCTCAGCAGGGCAGTTCTCCTGCGATATGTAGCATCAGCTGGAATCGCTCATAAAAGTGCGTTCAACTGGAAACTCAGACTGGAATGTTCAAGATGGTTTCTGTGCAGCTGCATTTATCTGGGAGCTTGGCTGTCCATATGGCCTCTCTCTCTAGCAGAGTAGCTGGGCTACCAGCAGGGTACACAGTGACTGACTTCTCAGGGAATATTTTGAGATCATGAAAGCAGGGTTGCAGATCTCTTAAAATCTAGCTTCAGAATTTGCACAGCATCACTTCCATGGTGTTTTATTGATCAAAGGAATCATGGGACTAACCCAGATTCACAGGAAGGGTAAATAGACTCCACTTCTTGATGGCAAGAGTGGAAGAGAATTTGCAGCCATCTTTATTTTTACGATTCTAAAAATATTTTTATTTTCTAGAGTCAAGATGAGGGAGAGAGCCATCTTTAAACTATCACAGCTATAGTAGATTCAGTACTTTGCAGAGGAGTAAATATAAAAGAAGTGGGAACACATTTGCACTAAATAAAGCAGATTTTAAAAAAAACTATATAATTTTCTGTGTTTCTCTTAAGTGTCAGAGAAAGTACTGAGGGAAGGAAATGGCTTAATCTTTCCTAAACAACTTGTTCACCTTCTGTTTCTTTTCTTTTTACCTTTCCTTGGCTTTCCTTCTTTTGCGGCTTGCATGTATATTCTTTTTTCGTTTGTTTTGTGGCACAAATTATTGGTTTTCTTCCTTCAAATGTGGAGTTGGTCAGTGTAAATGGCCAGATTGTTCAGAGAAGGGAGCTATTTGGCATAGTCTTCATACTATTTCTTCTCTTTTGCAGGGCTGTGAGGCTGTCTACAGCAGTGTATCTGGCCTTAAAGCTCACCTGGGCTCTTGTACATTGGTTTGTAACTTTTTAAACTTACTATCTTAACATGTCCTCTAAAATAGTCTGACATGGAAGAGAATTCAGTTTAGGTGAACAGCTAGTTGTCCTGTTTACCATTATCTTCAGAGGCTGCTTTAGATTTTTATGTCTCTAAGATTCTTGGTCTGGTATTGGGTGGGATGCCAGGGCATGTCCAAGACTTAGAAAAGATCACCATAGTCACAAGTCATTATCAATTTAAAGGAATTGGAAGAAACATATATTTGTTCTGAGTTCCTATCCCTGAATTCTAAGAGATTCAGCTCCTTGCATTTGAGCATCTCCTACACTGGGCCTGCCCTGTTTAGGTGGGCCTAAAACTTTGTAGAATCACCTTACATGTGCTTACCTGGATTGGTAAAGATCCTCTATACCCATCTGAACCATACTGGCCTCTCGGGATGGGAGGTGGGATAGGGTGTCAGGCTAACAGCCATTCACCTCACTGAATCTTTTCCATGTTGACCCAGGTGTCCTACAACCTACCAGCCATGGGAATTGCTGCCATTTTCCAATCTCCTCACACAAAATGAGCACCATGGAAACCTGAAGCTTCAGGAGGGGAGAGAAGTCTCAGTTCAAGGCAACAAGGGAGTTGTAGGCATCTAAACCAGATCTGTCTAGGAATGCTTAGGAGTTTGTCATCTTGATCCTAGTTTCTGAGTCCTTAAACTAGGTATTACGGATGGTACTCTTCTAATTCTGGATTTTGAAGGCACTTTTTGCGACAGTAGATCATAGTGGGAAGAATTGTACATTGGTGCCTCTGGTGAATTTTGGGCATTTGATCATTTTGGGGGAGGAACCAAGACAACCTGGAAGTGAAGTGAAAGGAACATAGGAAGGTAGAAAGATGTGGCATATTACCTGAGAAAAAGTAGGAGACTTTCAGGTTGTGTTGAAGTAGGGTGGGTGATTGGAACAGAATTGCACTAGGATGGATTTATGTTGATAATCATCCATCCAAGCTGGTTTTCCTAAATCTATTACTATATTGGATCTTTTTCCTTCTTATCTTTGCTGAAGTAGAATTCCCTCTTTTCATCTCTAACAATCCCTACACATAGCCCAGTTATGTTGCTGAATTTACCAGTAATTCTTTTTTGTTTCTCTCTTGGAAATAGGGAAACTTTGTGGCTGGAAAATACAAATGTCTTCTATGTCAGAAAGAATTTGTGTCAGAGAGTGGTGTCAAGTATCACATCAACTCCGTCCATGCTGAGGTGAGGTTTTTGTAATCCTGTGGGCCTGATATGTAAGCCACAAGAGAGGTAGACTTTGTCCCTATTGTTATGGACTAAGGCTGTCAAGGAAAGTATCTCTAAAGTGGTTACCAGAGCCATTAGAGTTAAAATATTCTCTAAACTTAGATATATAATTGTATTTTTCTGTGAAAGTATTTGAAGTCACTGTGAGGGGTGGGCGGGGTGGCTTATGCCTCTAATCCCAGCACTTTGGGAGGCCAAGGCAGGAGGATCACTTGAACCCAGGAGTTTGAGGCTGCAGTGAGCTGGTTGCGCTACTGCACTCCAGCCTAGGCAACAGAGATCCTGACTCAAAAAAAAAAAAAAAATCACTGTGACTGTAAGCATCCTTGAACTCTTTTTTTTTTTTTTTTTAGACGGAGTCTCGCTCTGTTGCCCAATCTGGAGGGCTCACTGCAACCTCCACCTCTCGGGTTCAAGCAATACTCCCTGAGTAGCTGAGATTACAGGCACCTGCCACCATGCCTGGCTAATTTTTGTATTTTCAGTAGAGATGGGGTTTTGCCACGTTGGCCAGGCTGGTCTTGAACTCCTGACTTCAGGTGATTCACTCGCCTTGGCCTCCCAAAGTGCTAGGATTACAGGTGTGAGCCACCATGCCCGGCCTGAACTCTTCTAATTCCTTTAAATCCAATTAAGTCAAATGTTTGGGAACCAGATTGAGTTTACATGTTTGAAATTCTTATTTCACAGTGATCTCTATACATTCATGCCTTCTAGCATTCTAATGTCTTCCAGCAACCCATTTTTAACGCTGTTTAAAATACTGGATAAAACAACTAAAGGACATTATTGAGACAGTTGGGGAAATTTGAATGCTGACTGTATTAAATAATAGTATTGTGTCAGTGTTAACATTCCCAAAGGTGATAGTTGTAGTCATGCAGGAGAATGCCCTTGTTCTTAGGCAGATATATGCCAAAGTGTTTAGGGATGAAGTATTATGATGTCTGCAACTAATTTGCACATAGTTCAGCAAAAGAAAGAAGGAGGGAAGAAGGAAGAGAGGAAGGAAAGAAATTAACAGTGGTAAATTTGATTGTTCATTGAACTGTTGCAACTTTTCTGAAGGTTTGTAATTTTTCAAAATAAAATTTTAAAATTGTGTATAAAAATGCTTTAAAGTTCAGAAGGTCAAGGGTTTTCTCTTGGGGAAGGTTTTTTAGTAATACAGGTGAACAGAGAAATCGTTTATGATATAATTAAATAGTCCTACTACAACAGCTTAGGAATACAATTTGCATTCTCTTGGAATATCTCACTGCAGAAACTATTGCTGCCTGATGTGGAAAAATAAAGGGAACACCTTTATTTATTTTCTGCCCTCAAATTTGATAGTACTTAACAATGTGAGCTTTAATTACTTCCATAAAATTTGGTTTCTGTTGCTTTACTGGCATAAGCTTTCAGAATCCCTAACCAAAGCCTGAGATGTCTTCTGAAGGCAGTCATATCTTTTTAGTAATAATAGCATATCTTTTTTTGCTTTAGGAAGTATTTAAAAGGTAATTATCGGCTGGGCACGGTGGCTCACGCCTGTAATCCCAGCACTTTGGGAGGCCGAGGCGGGCAGATCACCTGAGGTCAGGAGTTCAAGACCAGCCTGGCCATCATGGTGAAACCCCATCTCTACTAAAAAGTTAGCTGGGTGTGGTGGCGGGCACCTGTAATCCCAGCTACTTGGGAGGCTGAGGCAGGAGATTTGCTTGAACCCAGGAGACGGAGGTTGCAGTGAGCCGAGATTGCGCCACTGCACTCCAGCCTGGGCAACAGAGCAAGACTCTGTTAAAAAAAAAAGGTAATTATCTCCTGACAAAATCTGGCCTTTATATAGTTAAATGGTTTGTCTATTTTCTTCCTAAAAAGTTAAAATCAAAAGAATTGGAACCAACAAATTTCACTTGGTTTGGGGCATGCTCCCAGGCATTTGTTTATTGATTTATGCCTCTATGAATTTTGTGGGTGGTAAAACATCTTTACCCTGTTTCTTCCTCCCTCCATCACATTTTCTTACACTACTTTTTTTTTTTTAACAGAAAATTTCAAACACATGAAAGTAGAGAAAATAGCATAATGAACCCAGTATGCTGTCAGCCATCCTCAGCAATCATCAGTGTATGGCCAATCTTGTGTCATTTATAACCTCACTTTTCTCCTCCCTTAAAGGCTTACTTTAAAGCAAATTCCACATAAAATTTCAGCTGTAAGTGCTTCTTTCAATATATATCTGTAAGAGATAAGGACTTTTGAAAACATATGACCACAAACATCATTATACCTAAAAAAGTTAAGAATTTTAATATTATCATATGTCTAGTTATTATTTAAATTTCCCTGATTATCTTATAATGTTTTTTCAGAGTTGATTTTTCAAATTAGGATCTAAAACAAGGTCTAAATATTGCATTTGTTTGTTTTAATCTAGAGCAGCACTATCCAAAAAAAGTACTGTGAGCCATGTATATAATTTAAAATTTTCTAGTAGCCACATTAAAAAAGTATTTTAAAAGATGAAATTAATGTTAATAATTATTAAGCCCAATATATCTAAAATTATTTTTAACATTAAATCAATAAATTATTGAGATATTTTACATTTTTTTCATAACAAGTCTTTGAGATTTGTTGTATATTTTACATGAAAGCATATCTTAATTTGTTCTACTCACATTTAAACACATCACTTACCATATGTGGCTAGTGGCTATCTCATTGCATGGTGCAAGACTAAAAGCTTCCTCTTCTTTTTTACAAATTTGCCATTTATTGAAGAAACCGGATCACTTGTCACATACATGTACCCACATTCTGGAATTTTGCTGATTGCACCCTATGATAGTATTCCTGTATTCTGGCCATTTCCTTTTTTGCTTTTTGTTGTTGTTGTTTGTTTTTGAGGTACAGGGACCACTGCAGTGGAGTCTTGCAGTGGGGCAGAGAGATTGGGCTCAACTCCCTATTCTGGCTTTTCCTATGAATTGGTAGATTTAGAAGATTGAACAGATCACTTGATAAGATTGAAGTTCTTTCTTTTTTGGCAAAAATACTTCATAATTGGATTTCATGTCCCCTACCCCTTAATTTTTTAAAGTGAGCCTCGAAAATGTTAAGTAATTCGCCCATGGTCACGTATCTAGAAACAGAGCTGGGATTTGCACCCAGGGGGTCTGGCTGCAAAATTTATGCTCTTAGTTACGATGCCGTCATGGAATAAAAATCTCCTATGGCTCAGTGTGTTACATCTCATGATGAGATTTATACTCAGGAGATATAAGAGTGGGATGATGCTAAGTAAACAGACTTTGTAGATCATTTATTAAAGTCCCTAGAATTACGCCTTACAAAATATGTGCTTGTAATAGCTGCTCTGTGTTGGATTTCTCCATCTTAAAATATAGAATCCTGAGGTATGGTTCCATATCTGTTTCCTTCTTACTGTGTTCTGCCCTAATCATGCCTTTTTTCCATTCTTCCTCCACCTTTCTTTATGTTCTTCACTATATTTTCGACTGGATGACATTTCTATTTTGCCTCTCTAGGACTGGTTCGTTGTAAACCCAACAACAACCAAAAGCTTTGAAAAGCTGATGAAGATAAAGCAGCGGCAGCAAGAAGAAGAAAAGCGGAGGCAGCAGCACAGGAGCAGAAGGTCTCTAAGAAGGCGGCAGCAGCCTGGCATTGAGCTTCCCGAGACAGAGCTGAGTCTTAGAGTAGGGAAGGATCAGAGGAGGAATAATGAGGAACTGGTAGTGTCAGCCTCCTGTAAGGAACCAGAGCAGGAGCCAGTGCCAGCACAGTTCCAGAAAGTAAAGCCCCCAAAGACTAATCATAAACGAGGAAGGAAATAGGCAGTCAGTGTAAAAGTGCTCCTAGGAAAGCAGATGTGATGCTGTTGTCACGGGGACCTGTGCTGGGAGGACTGAGTGAAGATTCTTTCAGCTGTTTGTGTAAGGCTGTGACTTTCTCAGCTCCTTCCTCCTGTGTAAATTTCACTGTCTTCCCTTCTTACATTTTGATTCCCCCCTCCCCTTTTAGTAGGTTTTCCTGCTATTCCTCGTCAAGTCCTCTTGTTTTTTTATCTTGCCCAAAGAGCTCCCTCTCAAGGCCAACTATAGGCTCCTCTTGCCCTGTACAAAACTAAGAAACCTCTTTGGTTGTCCTTTCCTTCCTGGGGTATAGAATGTTCTTGGAAGCTCCATTGATTTAGTAGCTGCTCCATCATCTAGCTTGTGAAACCATTCCAAACTAATTTTTTAAAACCATAACTGATTTGTCATTTTGTATTTGTGATATAACAAGTCTAGAAGTTAGAACTGTTGTCATTCACATAATAAGATTACTCTGTCTCCTTGGGAAAAAAACTTTATGGAGGCTGTTTGTCCTCTCAATATGGTTTTAAGATTGAAAGTAAGAAAACGGATTTAGGATGAAAACTCTAGAACTACCCTATGCTGTTTATACTGGGAAATGCTTTGTACCAAGTAGCAGTGACTAGACCCACAGACATGAAAAGCAACCTTAGGAGTAAAGTGACCCAAACATTAAAATGACAGGAAAGAGAAAGTAGAAGCAGCAATAAATACTGCCCCAACTTTCCTGGAGCCCGAGGCCTCATCCATAGCTATGATCACTTGCCCTCTGAAGCTTATTTTTGCTTCTTTGGTTTTAAGAATTGAGAAATATCACATTGCCCCTGATGTTTTGACAGTCTCCTAGTGCTCCTGGTAGTGCCACTAAGGGAAAACCAAGGTGCGCATTCCTTCTCCCTGGACTTTACCTTACTTGTTAGTCTACGCCCCACTGTTTCCACCCATCCCCTTAGCCAACCTCTGTCTTTTTGAATTTTCTGAGAATATTGTCCTATCCTCTTTTATATATGGAGTTCTCTCCTCTTTATATCCTGAGACTTTGACACCAGATGTAGATATTTATCTGGAGCTGGAAAGAAAAATTCTTTTTCTGTACCTCATGCCTATCTGGTAATGTTTAATGGGTTATTTCTCTTTGAGGGTGGCTTTCTCTGGAACATTGGTTAGAGCAGCTTTGTTGTCGTGTTTCTGGATTCTCTTCCCCATTTTGCGTAAATATTGGTCTTATATATTCTTGCCTATTTTGTGGCATATGCCACATAAAAAATGAACCTGATATAGACAAGTACTACCTTTTCAAATTCTGAAAGGCTATTACCACTTTAACTCTTTGTGCTCCTCCAAATAGCTTTAAAATGTGGGCTTTTGTGAAGACCACTTTCAAACAAGGGAGCACTGAAACCTGAATTGGATACTGCCAGAATAGGTAGTTTTGAAACAAGTTAAGGACATGGTATATGCACTCTGCATTTTCATTGGCAGTGTGCCCTTAAAGCCCTTTCAGTAGATGAGGGTTGTCAGGGAGGAGAAATGAAGAAGCTATGTTAATTTCTGGTGAGTAAGACCTGGGGAATGTTTGGCAATGACAAAAGAAATAAATGACTCTCAGAAAGATGTTTCCAGTGTTCTTTGACGCCGACCTGCTGCATGACTCCTTGACACTGTATGGGGGTAAGAAGATGGCTAGAGATGGGGGTGAGTTTGAAATAAATTCCACATGCAGTTGTCTCAGTAATTCTTTGGTTCATGAATTATGCTGGTTAAAATGAGTAGTTTGAGATTAAAGTGAATTAGTATAGGAAACTTGCCCAGTTTCATCCAGGGACCTCTTGCAGGCATTCCTTTCGTTTTTCCTGACCAAGACCAGGGATCAGCAGGACTCAGTATAGACTATTCTAATCACAGTATTGAGTTTTAAAGTTTTTTTAAAAAAAATTCATTAGACTAACAAACTAAGTTTGACAGTATTATGAACTTTCATACATGGTTTGGAATGCAAATTGGTACAATCACTTCAAAAGTGATTTGGCAGTATCTAGCAGAGTTGAAGATATGTACCCGAAGACTTAGCAGTTTCTCTCCTGGGTATACACAGAGTAACTCCTTTTGTCTAGGCGTACCAAGAGACACAAAAAAGAATGATTATTGCAGTACAGTTTACAGTAGAGAAATACTGAAAACAAGTATCAGAGATCTACTTTCACCTTTGCAAATTATGGGATTATAGAACAAATGGCTAGACTGTATATTTCCTAGTTATCCCCCTTCCCTCCACTCTCTCTAGTGAAGGAGAAGCCAGCTAACTCCTCTCCCATGGAATGTGAGTGGAGTGATGAATGCCACTTGCAGGTTAGAACTTTTGAGTGGGTGTACCTCCAAGCTTTCTTTACCCTTCTTCTGGCTAAATGCAGATGATGATGGGGCCCTAGGAGATGGAAGAACACAAAATGGAAGATATCTTGACCCCCTGAATCACCTGTTGAAGGAGAGCCACTTGCCAACCAGGAACATGTATCTGAGACTATTAAGTGAGCAAGAAATAAATGTCTGTTATTTGAGACATTATACATTCTTGGGTCTCTTTGTTAGCCTACTCTAATACACAATAATTATCCATTATCAGAATGGATAAATTGTGATATAGTCATACAGTAGAATACTATACAAGCTATAAAATTGAGTAGGGTTTCTCGTATCATCATGAATATGTCTCAATGTCTGGGGCCAGGCACAGTGGCTCACACCTGTAATCCTAACGTTTTGGGAGGCTGAGGCTGGAGGATCGCTTGAGCTCAGGAGTTCTAGACCAACCTGGGCAATGTGATGAAATCTCATCTCTACAAAAAAATTAAAAAAATTAGCTGGGCATTGTGGTGTGCACCTATAGTCCCAGCTAGTTGGGAGGCCGAGATGGGAGGACTTCTTGGGTCCAGGAGGTCAAGATGCTGCTATGAGCTGTGATCACACTACTGCACTCCAGCCTGCGTGACACAGTGAGACCGTCTAAAAAAATACAAAGAATATTCTGCACATCTCCTTAAAAGAGAACATTTTAGAAATTTACTCTTGCTTCATCTCTCTCTTCTTATAGCAAATCCATTAGCAAGTCCTGCCTACCACCAACTACATTTTGAATCTGTTCACTCTACTTCTGCCATTCCAATCTAAGCCATCATTACCTCTTGCCTAGACTACAGTATCTTCGTAATTGGTTTCCTTCCACTTTTTTCTGGCTTGGATACACTCCACATAACAGTTGTAGTTTTTAAAATTAGGTAAATCAGACCTCATTCACCTGCTAAAGGCCCTCGGTGCCTAAACTCCTGCTAGCCTTAATAGCCTCATCTTCCTTTCCTCCACTCATGTTCTGTGACCATTCCTCAACTATACTTTACATACACACCTTTCTGTTCCTTGAACCTACCAAGCTTATTGCCATCTTAAGGCATTTGCATTCACTGTTGCCTCTGCCTAGAATAGTTTCTTCCCCAGTTTTTGCATTGTAGGCTTCATTTTAGCAATCATAGGTCTTAAATTTCACCTCAGAGGTCTTTTCCATCTAAACTCACTTTCTGTAACATAACCCTGTGTAATTTTCTAAATAGCAAAGCAGACAAAATGCAGATTGAAATCTTAGTTGGCCAACTTGCTGCTTACTTAGAGGTATGGATTTCAAGGTATGAAATCAGTTATCATTCAACTTTTAATGTCTTCAAGCCCTCACTCTGGAAGGGACAGCCACAAGCAGTATACCATATCCATTACCTGGGATGATAAGTAAAAATGAACTGAGATCAGGTGGAAGTTACCCACTCTTGAATTAGATAATTGGGACACCAGTGGCAGGAGGGGAATTAACAGAACTAATATGCTTCCTACTTTCCAACTTTTTATCAGCCTTAGAAATACATTGTCTTAGGGTTTTTACGTCCACAGAGACTAAGCCTTCAAGTTTGTCTTGGATACCATGCTTTCCTTGTTCAGTGTTTCTGTATTTTCAGCTCACAAATTGAGATTTAGGTTAAAGTACCTGTATGCTAAAATCCTAATTTCTGCATTAAAACTAGTTTTTATTATTTGCACATGTGAATAAGACATTTAAGAGTGGTAACAGAAGAGTGATGAAGTAGAAAATGTGTTACATTGGAACAGTAATAAAATCAGTGGATAAATGTTTTTATTTAATAACATTGTTTAATAAAAAACTACATATTTAACAGAAAAGTTGTTAAAGCTACAAGGTAAAGGCACATTGAAGGAGAATGCTTTTTAAATCCAATTTTCAGGGAATTCACTTTACATGTAAATAAAGCAGAAAATGCAGGAAAATTATTTTGAAGTTTTTCATCACTTAACAATTTCTGGGAAACAAAGTTCATCCTATTTTCCCATAGAGGACCCCTGTTAAAATATAAGATTATATTCCCCTATACTAGGATTCAGCATTCAAATAAATCACTAGTCCAACTTCAATGTCGTAGAACCCAAAAAAAATATAACTATCCTAAAAATATATAATTTAAAATATAATTTATAGTTATACTAAATGGGAATAAACATATGGCACACATTAATTACAAAGGATACTTCATGTACTAGAAAGTGCACCTGTAAGAAAATTAATAAATGACCTAAAACTAAAGCATTTAGGATAACAAACATCATTTTACTTGCTATCTTTTAGAATGCTGCTAGGGAAATCGATGGCACTTAAAAAAAAAGTTGTCCAAATATTTCAACTTTTTTTGGATACGTTTTCCTGAAATAAGTGGAGGCATTCAGTCACCTCAATGCTACAGGTGTTTCTTCAAATAAAACATTTTCAAAAGTAAGAGCTGACCTAATATATGTCTCCTTCATCTTTTCTTACCTTCTCAAACTTGTAGGGGCTTAGCATCAGATGAAAGGTCACTCTGCCTAGCACTTACTGGACTTGCTGTTATCAGAATGCTTTTTCACTCATGAGAAAACTAGAAGGAGCTACCTGGTCACTGGCACAAACTCACAAAGAGCTTGTAAAAACTGCTTTTGTCTGCTAAGTTGGTCAAAAGGAATGAGGATAAACTGGCAGAACGCTATTCAAAGTCTATTTGGAATGCTATCCTTAAAGGTACTTTCTCTATAAAGAAATACAATTTAGCTAGATGAAATAAATCACAACTGTTTTCACTTCCTTAGGTTGGTTTCCTTTAGCTAGTTTGATGTATGGTAAATGGCTAGGTTAGGGTCATGTGTTAGGTTAACTGGAGGTTTGTGGAATAGCTTATTAACGAGTATTTAAAGAAAAAGCTAGTTAAGGGAAGCTGGTTACCAAATATCTAGTAGGACTGTTGGATAAAACCATCTAATCCTTCACTCCAACACATCATGATGGAGATTTTACAATAGCAATCTGGAATCCAACAGCCTTTCTAACCAGGTTAATGTAGCACTTAAGAGTACTTGCTCCAGTTCTTATTTAATCAGTGTTATTTTAGAAGTTACTTTGGATTAATCCTTGATTTGGTGCCTTGGGGAAGACTGGGTGTGGTCTTTGGAACATCCTGTCTATTTAGGCACTGATTATGACTTCCTTGCAGTCTCTGCCTCGCCTGGATTAAGGACTCCAGATACCACTGTTCCTGC
Organism: Homo sapiens; assembly: GCF_000001405.40. NCBI lineage: Eukaryota > Metazoa > Chordata > Mammalia > Primates > Hominidae > Homo > Homo sapiens. Next base: position 27,627,108 of record NC_000002.12, read on the forward strand.
TGCAGCTGCTGCTTCCTGTTTTCTAAGTGGCTTTGAGTAGCCGTTAGTTTCTGGGCTTGCTCAATTAGCTGCAGTAATTCCTTCTTGAACTGCTGGTTCTCTCTGTTGATGCCACAGGAGTATTCAAAAATAAACCGCTTTGCTGCCAACTTCAAGGCCTGGGCCTTCATATTAAGCTCTCTTCTTTTTCTCTTTCCCAGTAGCCTCCTGTCTGGCTCGCTCAGTTGTTTCTCCAGTAATCTTTTCTCCTGGAGGAGCTGGGCCTGTACTTCCCGTGTCTTTGAAGCTGTCTCAGCTTGGACTTTCTTTGTCTCCTCCTGTAATGTCTGTATTTCTTTCTCCTGCTTTTCCTTTAATATAGCAATGTCCCTCATTGCCTGCAACTTCCGCTTCAAACTGGATTGGATATTTTCCTTTTGCAAGAGCGCTGTTTTAAGCACTGAAATTTGTTCTGCATATCTGGAGGCTGATTCTTGTCTTCTTCGTTCAATCTCTCCACTTTTTTGTAAATAGCTGTTCCATACCTTCTCAGGTTGCTCTGTGTACTCTTCAGTTTTGTTAGTCAGGTATTCCAGAAAGAATCTGTTTTCAGCCTGGACAAGTAACTTTTCTCGGTGTAGCTCCCTGGATTCCTCCAGTAGCTGTTTCCGCTGGGTTTGAGCTTGTTTTATATGCTTGTTCAGATCCGTCATTTCCGCCACTATCTTTTCTTTAAGCCTTGTCTCTACCTTTGTTAGCTTCTCTGGCTTGACAAAATTATTTATTAGACTATGATACGGTGGAAGGAGCCTTCTGGGGCCCTCAGCAAACCTGAAAGAACAAACGAGACATTCCTCTGTCAGTTAATGAAACTTTAGGAAGTAAGTGCACAACTGTCCTTCATTCATACAAGAGAATATTTCTGAGCACCAGAATGTTCCAGACATTATGCAAGGTGTGGGGAATCCAGCTAGTGGTAAAGGATGAGGAATGTAGCTCGTCATTTACAACGTGCATTCACTACAACCCTGGGAGGTATTACCTCAGTTTTAAAAAAGGAGAAAACAGGTTCAGAGAGTTTAAGTGACTTGCCCATGACTCACACCACTAGCAAGTGGCAGAGCCTGGGTATTAAAGCCAGATCTTATGACTTACTGAACACTGTTTGCAGCTACAAAGGGTCACAGAAACAGACTGGGTGGTCAGGAGTAGAAATAATTTTCTAGGCTCTTTCATCATCTTTCCTGAGTTTCTGAGGGACCTTCAGTGACTGGAGGGGAGGAAGCTCCCCTCCAGTACCTACTTGCACCTGGAATCCAAGCATTCATCCTGAAGGTCACGGCAACTGTGTAGTTCACTGAGGGTGACTGCCAAGGAATGAGCGCTAGCATCAGGAACCTGCGTCTGCAACTCGCGGGAACAATGTGCAAGTGTGGAAAGCTCCCGTAGTTTATTCGTTCGGTGCTCAAAGGGTCTCGGTGCTGCCCAGCAACCCTGGAGACTGCACCCTGCTCCAGTCCCGGCTGGTCCAGCCCTGAACTGTTTAACCGCCTCGGCTACCGAATAAGCCCGAGCAGCCGGTCCTCCAGTGGCTCCGCTCCCCGTTCTCTGTGGGCTCAAAATGACAGGCATGCTCCTCGTTTTCTTGCTGTGTGAGCCCTGCCCTCGGGACCCCATCTCTTCTGGCCTTCCTCCGGGAGACAAAAGCCCTCCCAGGCTGCAGAGATCAGCGCCCTTTTCCTAGCTCCCTTCAGCCTTCCTCTCGCTTGCTCAGCGCCCCCACTTCCTCGCCACTGTCACTAGTTGACTCATCAGCCCTGCCCGACGCTAAGAAGATGCCCTGGCAACCGCCGCGCCCCTCACCCGCTCCTTTCTGACGCTGTGGTGGTTTTCGTTCGCAGCCCAGAACATTGCGGAAGTTTCTCTACCCATGCGGTGTCTCTATGGTCGGGTGGGTGGGGCCAGGAGGAAGATGGCGGCGTCCGCAGCTGCCGCTGAGCTCCAGGCTTCTGGGGGTCCGCGGCACCCAGTGTGTCTGTTGGTGTTGGGAATGGCGGGATCCGGGAAAACCACTTTTGTACAGGTGACGTACACAGCATGGGTGTAGTAGGGGAGCGCAAAAGGTTGCCTCCGGCAGGCGGAAGGCCAGGAAGAAAGGGAGGGAAGAGGATTTGGAGGGTACCGGCGCATGGCTTTCGGGGGCTTCCCATCAACTTTAGTTCCTTCCCCGGCAAAGCCTCCTCGGGCCCTAGCCAGGTTAATTAAGGCTCTCTTCTGCGCACCTTCAGGGCATACTCGGTCCAGCTTACCACGTTGTACAGGAATTGTCTTGCTGATAAAATTGCGTTTCTCGGAGGCAAGTTACAAGTAACTTTAAAGATTAATACAGTGCTAGCACACAGGTTTTGGTGAAGATTTGCCAAATATTTCTTGCACGCCTGTCATGTTCCATTCACTGGGGATATAGCGAAAATGAGGTTGACAAGATTCATTCGTGGGGCCAAATATTTAATGGAGGAGATAGAGAAAACCCACATACGAAGAATCAAAACAAGTAAACAAGTGACTACGAGTAGGGGAAGCTTTGTTAGATGGGTGATGAAGAAAGGTAGCATTTGAACTGAGAGTTGTATCTTGGAGGTGGACATGGTGGATATTTCAGGTAGAAGAAAATCTAAGTGCAATATTCTTAAGGCATGGGTGTTAAAGGAATGGAAGTTCTCTCTTGTCCCCTCTTTGTCTCCTTCCAACCCTCTCCCCATATCTCTGCAGAGGCTCACAGGACACCTGCATGCCCAAGGCACTCCACCGTATGTGATCAACCTGGATCCAGCAGTACATGAAGTTCCCTTTCCTGCCAATATTGGTGAGTAAACCAGTAACATAACTTGTGTGCAGTGCTTTAAAGAGAATGGAAAAGGCCAGGCGTGGTGGCTCACGGCTGTAATCTCAGCACTTTGGGAGGCCGAGGCAGGTAGATCACGAGGTCAGGAGTTCAAGACCAGCCTGGCCAAGATGGTGAAACTCCATCTCTACTAAAAATACAAAAAATTAGCCAGGCACGGTGGCAGGCACCTGTAATTCCAGCTACTCGGGAGGCTGAGGCAGGAGAGTTGCTTGAACCCGGGTGGCAGAGGTTGCAGTGAGCCAAGATCGTGCCACTGCACTCCAGCCTGGTCAATAGAGTGAGACTCTGTAAAGCCTCCAGCCTGCCAGTCTTCAGTGCCTTCTTTTTTCATGTTTTCTAAACTATCTACTTTCATTTCCTTTGGATTTGCTTGCATTCCTAAACAGCTTAGGTTTTTTTTTTTTTTTTTTTTTTTTTAGACAGAGTCTCTGTCACCCAGGCCAGAGTGCAGTGGCGTGATTCACAGGTCACTGCAGCCTCAACATCCCAGGCTCAAGTGATCCTCCCACCTCAGCCTCCTGCCGCTATGCTGGGCTAGTTTTGTTTTGTTTGGAGAGACAAGGCCTCTCTATGTTGCCCAGGCTGGTCTTGAACTCCTGGGCTCAAGTAATCCTCCTGCCTTGGCCTCCCAAAGTGCTGGGATTATAGGTGTGAGCCACTGTGCCCAGCCTAACTCCTTTTAAAAAATCATGTCTGCATTGCCATTGTGTTGCCTTTGTCAGTAATAGGCAATTAGTAAGAAGCATTTTTTCCCCCTTGATTTTTGCCTCCCTTTTTCTAGGCATGTTTAAGTTGCATGAAACTTTGCACTTTGTGGAGACAAAACTCTTTGCCACAACTTTAGAGCTCCTAGCCCTAACATTCTTCATGATTTACTTGGCATTTATTCTTTGTAAGGAAGGAAACCAGTGTGAAAGTGGAGGTGGTAGAAGAGAATGCTGACAGGAGAAGGCTAGAAGGCCAGTTTTACTTTCCTGGTGGTAGGGAATGTGTATGTATTACATTCCAGTTAATTCTTTTTTTTCTCCTCAGATATTCGTGATACTGTAAAGTATAAAGAAGTAATGAAACAGTATCCTTTTCCATCTACTTTGGTCTTGACTCATTCCTGGCTTCTTGTCTGTGTATTTTGTGGCTTGAAAGAGTGTTTTTGCCTTTTCCTTGTGAAATATACAAGCAAAAGGATGGAAGCTGATTGTGGGAGAGGTAGGTGATCAGAAATACTATTTCAGCTTGAGATTTTAGTTTTCTTACCATCTCCCCAGATGGCAGGCTGTTGTAATTAAAGAGCAGAGAGTATGATAGGATAACTGACAGCTACCTGGGTCCCACAAGGTAGTATTTTGCCTTGGAGGATCATCTGTTGGTCACCACCTCTTTAGACTGGGAAACTCAGAAATGAGTGAGTTTAGTTGGATTAACTCTTAGTAAATTGCTGTATGAAATGTGTACTCTCTCCGTAGGCAAGTCTAAGTAGGAAGACTAATCATAATCAGCAGATTGCTTGGTTTATTTATGAGGATCAGAGCCGGAGGTGTTATACAGGTGGCCTTAATGACCAATGCCAGTGGGCTGTCACTGCCTGATGCACCTGTATTACATTTTGGTCACTTTGCTTTCTTCATTTTGCCTGACCACTCCTTAAATCAAATGAGTGAGCCAGACCTTGATAATGACTGTTTCCCTGTGTGGTTAAGTTTGTATGGTAGTCAAGGATTAGGTTGCCAGTATCCATTAATGGAACACTAATTTCATAATGCCGTTTGTGTGAATGATAGCCTAGGTATGAACTTTATAATCTAATCTATAAGCGATTTCAGTCCTCAACTTGGTGTCTAGATATGGACTTGGACCCAATGGCGGCATAGTGACCTCACTCAATCTCTTTGCTACCAGATTTGATCAGGTATATCTGTCTTTAGTATATTAATATGGTTGTGTAAAAATCTGTGACTCTTAAATTCCTTAGCTTGATCACATTGGTAAAGAAGAGCAGCAAACCTGAGCATAAATATAGAAAATAAGTAGGCATTTTGTCAGACAGAGAAGTAGACTATGAGAAGGTGATCAGTATGGTCAGACACTTCAAATTTAATATTTGTGACAGCTAATAAAAATCCAAAAGACCTGGGTTATTTTCTTGACCTGTTCTTTGCCTGTGGTATTACCCCGAAGCTGGGATGGGGGTATTTGGGAGTGGGATGGACTAGCAGTCATGGAATGGAAAGATGATGGGGCATTTTACTTGTGATAAATATTTGTCATTCTTTAGGTTTTCTTTGTCACCTACTTCCATAAGAGTGTTTTATAATCACTGGTTTTTATACTCTGATGTTAGGCCATGAGACAGGCTGTTAACATTTTGACAAGAGATAACAACTTGACATTGACAGATCAAAGTCTTCAGCTTCTCAGATCCTTGGATTGTGCCCCAAGATGGTATTGGAGTGCTGCTGATGTGGCTGTGTTGCTTTAGTTCAGCCTGTTTATTCTTTGTTGTCCTAAGATTGCAAATGTTCAGTAGGTGATTGAGGGATTCAGTAGGTGATAGTGCCTGTGAGGTATGCCACCCTGGAGAGGGCTCTGTGATTTTGTGTTGAAATCGGAATTTGTTGTCATTGACATCTTTTTCTTTTAGGTGATGAAATTTATTGAGAAGGCCCAGAACATGTCCAAGTAAGTGATGTCAGTAACACCCATTTATTACTCTGTAGCTGACATATTTCTAGGCTTCATGGAGGATCTGGGATACCATCAGCCTCTGAAAGAATATAGATTGAGATGAAACCATTAGGAGTGAAAAAAAAATTGGCAAATCATTAAGATGCTTTAGAATATAGAGCTAAATTTAATATCATTTCATCCTCAATTACTTTGATCCCCAATTTACATGGCTTCTTAGGAGCTCTTTTGAGACTTTGTCCCAATTCAGTTGTCCACCTGCCTTCTCTTGGGAAACCATGCTTGTTGTCATTAAAGTATCTGAAATACCTTTCTAATTCTTATTTAAATGAATATAGTCTACATGGTTCAGAGAAAATTTTTTAATTTACAGAGTGTCAGAATAGGAAATATTTGTTCTTATGGCCATTACCCAGTTAGCTGTTGTTCAAGGTTTACTTTTTTTAAAAAAGATAATTTATTGTTTTATAAAAATTCAAACCATGCATGATATTTATAAGATGAAACCATCACCCCGATTCCCACTAGAAGTAACATCATCATTCAGCGACTAGCATTCCACATTTCTATATACACAGATAGAAGGATGAATGGATAAAAGTGCTTTTACAAAAATGGGGTACTAGAGGTAGCTTTTGTTTTGTTTTGAGACAGGGTCTTGCTCTGTCGCCCAGGCTGGAGTACAGTGTAGTGATCTCAGCTCACTGTAACTTCCACCTCCCTGGCTCAGGTGATCCTCCCACCTCAGCCTCCCAAGTAGCTGGGACTACAGGTGTGAGCCACCACACCTGGCTAATTTTTGTATTTTTGTATTTTTGGGATGGAGTCTCGCTCTATTGCCTAGGCTGGAGTGCAGTGGTGTGATCTTGGCTCACTGCAATCTTTGCATCCCGGGTTCAAGCGATTCTCCTGCCTCAGCCTCCTGAGTAGCTGGGATTACAGGTGGCCTGCTACCATGCCTGACTAATTTTTGTATTTTTAGTAGAGATGGGGTTTCACCATGTTGGCCAGACTGGTCTCAAACTCCTAACCTCAAGTGATCTGCCCGGCTTAACCTCCCAAAGTGCTGGAACTATAGGTGTGAGCCACTGAGCCTGGCCTGGAGGTATTTTTTTTTTTTTAATGACAGCTTTATTAAGATATAATTCATATACCATAAAGTTCACTCGTTTAAAGTGTATGGTTGTTTTAGTCTGTCCACAGAGTCGTGTGTTGATAATTACTATCTTCAGAATATTTTTGTCATCCTGAAAAGAAACCCCATACTCATTACCAATCACTCCTTATTTTCTGTTCCCTTTAGCCCCTAGTGACTACCCCATTTTCCATTCCCATTGGCAATATGATTTCTCCACAACCAGTTCCTCCATAACCTTGCCAACTTTTGTTATTCTTCTTGTTTTTGATTATAGCCATTCTAGTGGATATAGAGTGGTATCTCATTGTGGTTTTTACTTTTATTTTCTTAATAACTAATGATATTGAACATCTTTTTAATGTACTTATTGGCCATTGGTATGTATATATTTAGAGAAATGTCTATTAGAATTCTTTGCCAATTAAAAAAATTCTGATATAATTCATAATTATATCAAATTAATTCACAAAAAAGTTGATATAGTTCATAAAAACAGCTTTATTGAGATAATTCACATACCATACAATTCACCCATTTAAGGTATACAATTCAGTGGCTTTTAGTATATTCACAGAATTGTACAACTATCACCACAGTCAATTTTAGAATATTTTCATCATCTCAAGAAGTAACCTGATATTCTTCAGCTAGCACTTTCCCATTCCTCCCATTCTTCTTCCTCTGTTCCACACTCACCCCCGCCCTAAGCAACCAGATGTTTCCCAAGAGATTTACATTCTGGTTTTGTGTCTTTCATTTTAAATGCATTGTGTTTCTATAAAAGTTTCCCCTGTGATCATTTGCAGCAACTCATGGTCTGCTGTTCCTGCCCATTGGCGTGAATATTGGTCATTGAACAAAGTCTAGGGGATCATCATGTGCAGTTTAGGGCCAGTAGGAGGAAGTTAGATTTGGCAGTGTGCAGAGGTTACTCCAGTCTTGGATAACCAGATGTTTATTGTCTTATATGATGGAATATCCTTCAGCATAACACAAATGTAACACTTCTTTAATGATCTTTCTTGACATAGATATGTGTTGATTGACACACCTGGACAGATTGAGGTATTCACCTGGTCAGCTTCTGGGACAATTATCACTGAAGCCCTTGTGAGTATTCTAGGACTTGCTACTGAGAGTAGCTAGAGGGGCTAGACTGGATGAGCATTTATTTTTAATTGCCTTGGACTTTATATGGGAGGAAGTTGTAGAAGCTCTGCACACCCTGCCTAAAGTGGTTTTCCCTTGTTAAGGATGGTGGAAAAAGAGTTTGAGGACAGATCGTGAGCCCTCTGACCAAGGCTTTGATTTTTTTGTGGCTTTAGGCATCCTCATTTCCAACAGTTGTCATCTATGTAATGGACACATCGAGAAGTACCAACCCAGTGACCTTCATGTCCAACATGCTCTATGCCTGCAGGTAATTGATTGTTGGTGGGGAAAGTGTTCCATCAAGGTATAAGGCCTTTTTCTCTTCTTCTTCCTCTTTTTTTTTTTTTTTTGAATCTGGTTGCTTACCCCTGGATTTGTGCTCATTCAGATTTGCTGTTCAGTTGAGTGGCTGTGAGCTGGGGAAGGTCAGAGGAGAAAAGAGGCACATGTGCTGTTGGCATTCTCTCTCAATACCCTCTGATCTTCCTCCCTTGTTGTTACAAAAAGGTGATGTATGAATATGAACTGTCTGATAGTTGTTCCCAGTTGGATAAAATCCAAGTTTAAAGATAAAGTCCTCTGGGCTGGGTCTGTCATCCCTACACTTGGGAGGCCAAGGTGGGAGGATCGTTTGAGCTTGGGAGTTTGAAACCAGGCTGGGGAACATAGCAAGACTCTGTCTCTACAAAAAATGTTTTAAAATTAGCCAGCGTGGTGGCACGCCCTTGTAGTCCCAGCTACTTGGGAGGCTGACGTGGGAGGATTGCTTGAGCTCAGGTGGTTGAGGCTGTAGTGAGCCATGATTGTGCCACTGCACTCCGGCTTGGGGCAACAAGAGCCTGGGGCAACGAGAGAGAGAGAGAAGAATAGAGTCCTCTGGCCTAAATGATGCTGGTAGAGTGAAATTGTAACATGAGGAGATACCATGAATAAGAAGATTTATCCATAATTGTAAAATGCACAGGTGGCCAGGCATGGTGGCTCATGCCTATAATCCCAGCACTTGGGGAGGCTGTGGTGGGAGGATCGCCTGAGCCCAGGAGTTTGAGACCAGCCTGGGCACCATGGTGAAACCCCATCTCTACAAAATATACAAAAAATTAGCCAGGGATGGTGGTGTGTGCCTGTAATCCCCGCTACCTGGGAGGCAGAGGTGGAAGGATTGCTTGAGCCTGGGAGGCCAAGGTTGGAGTGAGCTGTGATGATGTCACTGTACTCCAGGCTGGGCAACAGAGTGAGACCCTGTCTCAAAAAAATAAAATGCACTGGTTTGCCCCAAATGTGGCACCATTAGCAGAGGAAGGGCATGCCTCACTAGATTAGTGCATTAAGACTGAGGAGCAAGGCTGACAGTTATTAAAGCTGAGAGAATTTAATTTTGAGGGTACACAAATGCCATCACCAACATTTGTCTTTTCTGATATGACAAGGGATGTCCCTTTTTGGTGGATGCAAGAAATTGTGATCCAAATAGAAATCTGAAGATTGACAGCATTATTTCATTTTCATATTAATTATTTATTTATTTATTTATTTATATTTTTTCGAGACGGAGTCTTGCTCTGTCACCCAGGCTGGAGTACAGTGGCACAATCTCACCGTACTGCAATTTCCGCCTACTGGGTTCAGGTGATTCTCCTGCCTCAGCTTCCTGAGTAGTCACCACACTTGGCTAATTTTGTATTTTTAGTAGAGTCGGGGTTTCACCTTGTTGGCCAGGCTGGTCTCAAACTCCTGACCTCAAGTGATCTGCCCGCCTTGGCCTCCCAAAGTGCTGGGAATACAGGCATGAGCCACTGTGCCTGGCCCATTTTCATATTAATTGTTTAAAAGAAAATTATTTGATTTGCCTGATAGTGTTAATCATTTCTTTTTAAAAAAATTAATTAATTTATTTTTAGAGGTGGGGTCTCGCCATGCTGCCCAGGCTGGTTTTGAACTCGTGGGCTCAGGCAGTCCTCCCAGCGTGGCCTCCCAAAGTGCTCAGATTACAGGCATGAGTCACACCCCCAGCTGGTAATCATTTCATGATGAAACATACAGTTGATCCTTGAACAATTTGGGGGTTAGAGGCGCCAACCCCTGCAGAGACCAGCCGGGGCACCATGGTGAAACCCCATCTCTACAAAATATAAAACTTTGACTCCCCCCAAACTTAATTACTAAAGGCCTACTGTTGATTGGAAACCTTGCTGGTAACATAAACAGTAGATTAACACACATTACATATATATTATATGTATTATATGCTGTATTCATATAATAAAGCTAGAGAAAATAAGGGGAAGATATATTAACTGTTCATTAAGTGAAGTAGATCGTCATAAAACTCTTCATCCTAATCGTCTTCACTTTGAGTAGTCTAAGAGTAGGGGTTGGGTTTTGCTGTCTCTGGGTGGCAGAGGTGGAAGAAAAGGTGCATATGAGTAAACCTTGCAGTTCAAACCTATGTTGTTTAAGGGTCAACTGTGTATCAAAATATCCCTTTGTACACCTTAAATATATATAATTTTTATTTGTCAACTATACCTCAATAAAGGTAGGGGTAGAAACATTTTTAAGATGTTACTTTACAGATTGAAAAAAATTTTAATATTCTTTTCCCAGCCTTATTGAGGTATAATTGACAAATAAAAATTGTATATATTTACATGTTATTTGTAAAGAATAAAGGAGATAATACTTATGAAAGTGCTTATTAGCACAGTGCCTAGACTATACAGATTGAGCATCCCTTATCCAAAAATTTGAAATCTGAAATGCTCCAAAATGTGAGACATTCTAGACACTGACATGACACTCAGAGGAAATGGTTATTGGAGGATTTTGGATTTTCAGATTTGGGATGCTCAACCAATAAGTATTTACAAATATTCCAAAATCTGAAATAAAAAACACTTCTGGTCCCAAGTATTTTAGATAGGAAATTCTCAACCTGTAATAGGTATTCAGTAAATGTTCATTTCCTTCTCTGAAAAATACCAATTTGGTTAAAAAACAAAACAAAAACAAGTTCAATATTAAGGCATTATTACTTCAAACAAGAGTGAGAGTGTGTGTGTTGCTTCTGGGTGGTAGTTGTTTTCCTGTTGGCAGAGACTATATGATGTTATGTAAAAATGGATGACTACTTTTTAGATTCTGAACTCATTTCTGTTCTCTTACTTAGTCCCGACATGCTGACACTGGATGAGCAAGAGCTTATGTGCTTTTACTAATAACTTCTCAATGTTTGGTTTTCAGCATCTTATACAAAACCAAGCTGCCTTTCATTGTGGTCATGAATAAAGTAAGTGTATTCTTCCTGTTGTGATTCACCATTTTTCATCAGAACCTTGTGGTTAGAAGGTTTAGGTGGGTGAGAAAGATTATTTCAGATGCTGGAGACCAGATTCAGGCTTTACTGAAACAAATTCATAGGCACTTCGAGAAAATGAATCAATCAAATTGAATGAGCAATTATTACCAACTCTTGTCTAAAATTATTTTAGGCTAGGTAGAGTAGCACTTCAACCACAGTATGTAGATTATCCCTCAGAGTCAAGATTGTGTAATTACGAGAGGGACAACTAGTCTACTGGAAGTGGCAATTAAAAAATTCTAAACTTCTCTGTTGGTTGATGGCTAGGATGCAAGAGACCTTTTGACTTCAGAGCCTAGAATGTGCTGGTGTCCATTCTGGTCCTGGTACTTGGCAGTGGATAGTGGAGGGTCAACCAAGAGAATACACATCTTCATTTAATTACACTGACTACACAATGATTGTGGTTCTTTGTGGCTTGTTGCAATGGAGGGGAAATAGAAGCAGAGAAAGAAAATATATGGATGATATGTTCTTTGCTGTCAACACTTAATTAAAAGAATAAATTTTGCGTTTGTTGGCTCTGGTTGCTCATAATTGACTTCTCTCTGGTACAGACTGACATCATTGACCACAGCTTTGCAGTGGAATGGATGCAGGATTTTGAGGCTTTCCAAGATGCCTTGAATCAAGAGACTACATACGTCAGTAACCTGACTCGTTCAATGAGCCTGGTGTTAGATGAGTTTTACAGCTCACTCAGGGTAAATTTTCTCTCCTGCTCACACTGACAGCCTCTCCAGATAATCTGTTAACCCATAGGATTGGCTTTGAACCTGGCTGAGAAAGGAAGCTTATTACCTACTGAAAAGTAACTTTTAAAGCATTGCTTATTAAAAATTGTGGAGTGTACAAGAAGAATAAGATAGGGACCCCAGCTTCAGAGTTTATAGTCTATTTGGGAGAGAAGGCTACACACAGAATTAAAACATATGATATATTGTAGTAAGTACCTTAAGAAAGATTGGAAGTTGGGCCTGATGATTGTGAGGCGGCAGATCAAAATGACAGATTTTGGAGGATGTAGCATTAGAGGTATGCTTTGAAGAAGGGTAAGATTTATGTAAGCAAAGGCAGAATGGGTTAATTGCCCAAGGAAAGACATAGACAAAGCAGAAAGTGATTTGGTTTGGTTTGTTAGGGAATAGATAATAAGTCCTGTTAATTGTTCAGTCCTAATTATCTTTTTTTTTTCTTTTTTCCCTTTGGAGAGAGGATCTTGCTTTGTTTTACCCAGGCCAGAGTGTAGTGACAGGATCACAGCTCACTGCAGCCTTGACCTCGTGGTCTCAAGGGATCCTCCTGCCTCAGCTTACCAAGCAGCTAAGACTATAGGCGTGTGCGGTATACCATACCCAGCTAATTTTTTATATTTTGTAGAGACTGGGGTCTCGCTATGTTCCCCAGGCCAGTCTTGAATGCTTGGCCTCAAGTGCACCTCCTGCCTCAGCCTCCCAAAGTACTGGTAGTATAGGCATGTGCCACTGCACTCAGGCCATATCTTTCTTTTTCAATTTTTTATTTTCCATGGACTTATTTCTGTGACTTTTGACTGGGTGTGCTGTTTTGTTCTTTTTTAGCCTGGCTTTTTGCCAAAGACTTCTCAAAATATAAACCACTCTTACTAAGATTTTATGACATTTAAACAAGTTAATGTACTTCATTAAAAAATATACAATGGTTTCTTTAGTGGCATTTATGATGCTTTTTGGCAGGTGGTGGGTGTCTCTGCTGTTCTGGGTACTGGATTAGATGAACTCTTTGTGCAAGTTACCAGTGCTGCCGAAGAATATGAAAGGTGAGGATAAAGGAAAATTCTATTGATGACATTCTTAATAACCTACAATTCTGATATGAAAGCAGTTTTTCCAGGAAAAGCATTACATTTTCATGATGGATGTATTATATTTGGTTTGCATATGTGTATTGAATCAGACCACACTTAGGGGTGACAAGTTCCCTTTAAATTTTGTTTTTTTTAAATAGAAGTATAAATCTTCATTGTATTGAGTGATTAAGAGCAGGGATCATCAGACTTTTCTGTAAAGAGCTAAACAGTAGGTAGCTCAGGCTTTGTGGGTCATATAGTCTCTGTTGCAACTGCTCACGTCTGCCATTGTAGGACAAAAGCGTCCTCAGACAATTTGTAAATTAATGGGCGTGGCTAGTGTTACAGAAAAACATTTATGAAAACAGGCAGTGGGCTGGATTTGGCACTAAGGTTGTTGTGAAGATTGAGAAAACGTATACAGCACTTATCACAATTGCTGACATATAGTAAGCACATTTTATAATAAATGTTATAACTATTGTCATTGTTAATACTGGAATTCAAGTAAAGAAAAGTGGAGTCAGAGCCCTGTGCACTTTCCTTAGGCCTGTGGCATGATAGCCGGCTTATTAGTGTCATGTGTCTTTGGCTTCATATTTTGCAAGATCCTAACAACCATATTTTGGTTTTCAGACATGTTATTTTGATTTTGATTCATTAGACACAAGGGTGTTATCAAAACCTTAGGATAGACTCTTTTCTGTATCCTTTCACTGTTGTTGTTCAAGTAAAGCACATAATTGTATGTTGCACGTCCTGAGCTCAACAGGCTTATCTTTTACTTATCTCACCCTTTTATCTCAAATGAATGGTGAGTTCATCAGTCATGTTCTCACCAATATTAATCTTTCCAGCCCAGCAGTCAGGATTGTGTCTCCTGGTTCCAAGGTGGGAGCGGGCACCTTGGCTTTTAATTCCATTGGGTAGACTCTGTCAGTGACTAAGATTTGTTACATCTGATGTTGAATGAAGTCAGATGTTTTATTATTGTCAGTCTTAGGAAAATAGAGATAAGGGGATGTGGAGAGTCAGTAGGATAGAGGATTAAGCAAAGGAATTTAGAAAGTGTTTCTCTTTACAGGGAGTATCGTCCTGAATATGAACGTCTGAAAAAATCACTGGTAAGAAGGGAGGCTGTTTGTATATTTTAAAAGGGCCATTAAAAAAACCCAGCTCAATCTTGATGACATAAGTGCTTTTGTTTTGGTTATTAATGTATCTTTTATTTAATTAAAAAAGTTTTTTTTGTAGCTTTATTGAGGTACAAGTGGCTAATGAAATTTCAGTGTATCTTCTAAATACTTGTTAATTTAAATTTGTAAATTTGTATGTATGTTGTCTGGGTGCGGAAAGTCTCCTTAATGTTTCTTCCCTTTCAGAGGTCAATTTAAAGCTAGTTGTAGAATTTTGTATAAGAGTGTAGTGGTGCTTCACAACTCCTTTTCTTGTTGTTGAGAAAGGGTCTCACTCTGTCACCCATGCCAGAGTGCAGTGGCACGATCGCGGCTCACTGCAGCCTCGACCTTTTGGGCTTAAGCGATCCTCCCATCTCAGCCACCCGAGTAGCTAGGACAACATGTATGTACCACATGCCTGGCTAATTTTATTTTGTAAATTTTTTGTATAGACAAGGTCTCACCGTGTTGCCCAGGCTGGTCTCAAATTCCTGAGCTCCTGCAGTCCTCCCTGCTGGGCCTCCTGTAGTGCTAGGATTACAGGCAGGTGCCACCATGCCCAGCCTTCTCTTATCCCAAATGATCGAGTGTCCTGCTTCCTTAGGCTCATTGGATCCTTTGTCTCTGAGCCTTCCTGCTATGTCTACTTCAGGTTTTTGTGTTTTTTTTCCCCCATATAATAAAGTTTATTGTATCTTTTGTTTTTTCATTTTGTAGGCTGGGGATGAATAAAGAGTAATGCTTTCTATGTAGGCATTTTGCCTAGCCAGTTTAAATGTTCCAGTTCAATTAACAGAGCAGGGGATCCACCCTGGACTGAACTCAACACTTTAGAATTGAGGGTTCTTTTGAAACCTTTTTGTGTTCCGTTTCTGAACCCTCTAAATCAGTCTGCAGAGCCCTCCAGTCTAAACTTCTGCAGTAACCCAGGCCCACGCTACTTAGTGTTTCTGTCCCTATACCAGACGTCCCTTATCTGCATCAGTTTTTATGTAGCCTCTAGTATTTGTATAATTCTTCATCTCCACTGAGAAGTCTGGCATCTAATTTGGGACTCCTTTTTGAATATGATGACATTTTTCTCTGTATATACAGGCCAACGCAGAGAGCCAACAGCAGAGAGAACAACTGGAACGCCTTCGAAAAGATATGGGTTCTGTAGCCTTGGATGCAGGGACTGCCAAAGGTATTGGAGGGTTTCTTGGTGTTAGGAACTAAAAAAAGGTTACACTTCTTTCTTTTATTTATTTATTTATTTTTGAGACGGAGTTTCACTCTTGTTGCCCAGGCTGGAGTCTCGGCTCACCACAACCTCCACCTCCCAGGTTCAAGCAGTTCTCCTGCCTCAGCCTTCCTGAGTAGCTGGGATTACAGGCATGTGCCACCACACCCGGCTAATTTTGTATTTTTAGTAGAGATGGGGTTTTTTCCATGTTGGTCAGGCTGGTCTCGAACTCCTGACCTCAGATGATCCACCCACCTGGGCCTCCCAAAATGCTGGGATTACAGGCATGAGCCACTGTGCCTGGCCGGTTACACTTATTTCTATCAGCAGGATTCTGTTTATATATGAGAGAGAGAAAGAGAAAAAGATAAAGGAAATGTGGTTTTATATATATATATATACACACACACACACACACACACACACACACACACACATACATATGCATACATATATATTAAAAAATAAAGGATTTGGAAAGGCAAATTTGAAATTATATACAGCTCTACCACTTTGGGTTCCTCTTTCAGGAAGTTTTTGCTTTACTTTGGCAATATACTTGATGTGTGCTGTGGTGGTTTTTTTTGTTTGTTTCTAACACTTTTAACCCTCCTCAATTTTTTTTATAATTAAAAAAAATTTTTTTTTTTTTACAGTTTGACCTTAATTTCAGATTTACAGAAGTTACATGAATAATACAAATAATTGCCATAATTATTCTATCAGATTCCCAAAATGTTAACATTCTACCATGTTTACTTTATTCTTTATCTATATATGACTTTATATGTTATATAAATATATATTTTTCCTGAATCATTTGAGTAAGTTACAGATATAATACTCTTTTACCTTGAATAATTCAGTGTCTTTTTCCTAAAAACAAGGATATAATTTTATATAACCTCAGTGCAGTTATCAGAAATCAGGAAATTAACATTGACATAATACTATAATATTAGCTAACATATAGATCTTATTCAGATGTAGCCATTTCCCCATGATAGCAGGAGAAAATCTGGATGTGCATTGTATTTAATTCTCACATGCCTTATACTCCTTTAGAATCTGGAACAGTGCCTTAGTCTGACTTTGTATTTCATGACTGACATTTTTTAAGCATGTAGGATAGTTATTTTATAGAGCATCCTTCAGTTTAGGTTTGTCTCATGTTTCCTCATGATTTGATTCAGGTGACTAATTTTTGAATTGTGTTTTTTCAAGGAATCACATTGGGAGGCACGTGATGTTGATTTGTCCCATTACTGGTGATGTTAACTTTGAGTATTTTTATAAAGTGGTGTATGCTACGTTTTTCATAAAGAATTACTATTTTTAGGCCGGGCGCAGTGGCTCACGCCTGTAATCCCAGCATTTTGGGAGGCCGAGGCGGGTGGATCACTTGAGGTCAGGAATTCGAGACCAGCCTGGCCAACATGGTGAAACCCCATCTCTCCTAAAAATACAAAAAATTAGCTGGGCGTGGTCGTGCATGTCTGTAATTCCAGCTACTCGCTGAGGCTGGAGAGTCTCTTGAACCCGGGAGGCAGAAGTTGCAGTGAGCAAAGATCGCGCCACTGCACTCCAGCCTGGGTGACAGAGTGAGACTCCCTCCATCTTAAAAACAACAACAACAAAAATTACTATTTTTAAATATGGCTGTTTTTCTGTTTGTAATAAGAATTTTGTGGGGTGATGCTTTGAGACTATAAATATCCTTTTAGTTTTCTAATGTTCACCCATTAGTTTTAATATCCATTGATATAATAGGAATATCAATTTTTCTGTGATTATATGTTGCAAATGTTTAATATTTTCTCCCTATCAGTTATCCTTTGACTTTGTTCACGGTGTTATTTTGCCATGCAAAAGTTCTTATTTTGTTTTGATGTAGTCAAATTGATCTATCTTTTATTGCATCTGGGATTTTAAGTCACAGTTAGGAAGCCTCTATATATACCTATGTTAAAGAGGAATTCACCTATTTTTTTTTATAGATTTGTCTGGTTTTATTTTCTAAATTGAGATCCCCGATTAATTTAGAGTTTATTCCTGGCTATAGTATAAGGTATATAAGTCGGTGTTATTTTTTTCATAAATAGTTGTATCTGTATGATTTATTTAAAAGTCTGCCTTTGCCTTAGTGAGTTTTTTTTTTGGTAGTGTTTTTTTTTTTTTTTTTTTTACAGATGAGGTCTGAGGCTGGTCTGGACCTCCTGGGCTCAAGCGATTTTTCCATCTCAGCCTGCCAACTAGTTTGGATAGGTGTATGCCACTGCACCTGGCTTGTAACAGCGATTTGAGATGCTACGTGTATAATGTTCCAGACCAGCCTCAGACCTCATCTCTAAATGTAGTAAAGTTCCATGCATACTTGAGTATACTTCTATATTATTTCACTGGACTGTTTATTTATTTATTTTTTTTGAGATAGTTTCTCACTCTGTCACCCAGGCTGGAGTGCAGTGGCGCAATCATAGCTCCCTGCAGCCTCGAACTACTGGGCTCAAGCATTCCCCCTGTCTCAGCCTCCAGAGTAGCTAGATCTACAGGTGTGTGCCACCACGTCTGGCTAGTTTTAAGGAAATTTTTAATAGAGACGAGGTCTCACCATGTTGCCCAGGCTGGTCTTGAACTCTTGGCCTCAGGCAGTCCTCCTGTCTTGGCCTCCCAAGGTGTTGGGATCATAGGCATAAGCCACCATCCCCAGCCCATTTTTTTTTTCTTTTAACTTGCTTTGGTGAGCAAGGACTCCTTACTTTTATGCCTGTACCATGTTGTTTTAATTATGTAATTATGTTTCAATATCTGCTAGATCAGATTCTCCTCCTAATTTTTATTTGGCTGTCCTTACATGTTCTTCCATATGAACTGAGTATCAACTTTATCTAGTTCCTTAAAAAAGCTTTTTGGTATTTTAGTTGGGATTACATTATATTCATAATTAATTTAGGGAGAAGTGACATCTCTATGATGTTCAGTCTTGCTACCCAAGACCACAGAGTGTCTTTGTATTTGTCAGGTCTACTTGTGTCTTTCAGGAGTGTTTCCAGTTTTCCATATATAGGTTTTTCTTATTTCTTTTTAAAATGTTTTTGTTATTTTAGCCAACCTTTTTGACCAAGAGTTTTTGCCTGTTTCTTTTTAATTTTTTTTTTTTAAAACAAATCATCTTTATGTATTTGTTTTGAGACAGGGTCTTGCTCTGTCACCCCAACTGGAGTGCAGTGGTGTGATCTTGGCTCACTGCAGCCTCTGCCTCCTGGGTTCAAGCTATTCTCCTGCCTCAGCCTCCCAAGTAGCTGGAACTAGAGGTGCCTGCCACCATGCCGGGCTAAATTTTGTATTTTTAGTGGAGATGAGGTTTTGCCGTGTTGCCCAGGCTGGTCTCGAACTCCTGGGCTCAAGTGATCTGCCCACCTCAGCCACCCAAAGTACTGGGATTACAGGTGTGAACCACTGTACCCAGCTTGAAATTTATGTATGTATGTATTTATTTTTGAGGCAGAGTCTTGCTCTGTCACCTAGGCTGGAGTGCAATGGCGCGATCTCGGCTCACTGCAACCTCCGCCTCCCGGGTTCAAGCGATTGTTGTGCCTCAGCCTCCTGTGTAGCTGGGACTACAGGCACATGCCACCACGCCCAGCTAATTTTTGCATTTTTAGTAGAGACAGGGTTTTGCCATGTTGGCCAGGCTGGTCTTGAACTCCTGACCTCAGGTGATCTGCCCATTTCAGCCTCCCAAAGTGCTGGGATTACAGGCATGAGCCACCATGCCCAGCCCCAGCTTGAAATTTATTCTAAGTATTTAACCTTCTTCATTACTGTTGAAAATGGGATTTTCTGGACCGTTACATCTTATAACTGGTTTATGTTTGTATGTATGAAGGCTTTTGATTTCTGTATATTCATCTTTTATCCTGCTACTTTACTGAATTAAAAATTTTTTTTTAGTTTTATCATTGGCTCTGCAGGGGTTTTTAGGTTAGTTTTCATTTACAGCCCACCTTCCACCCCCACCCCTGTATATTGAGGGACTGCCCTCAAGATTCAGATGCAAGTCTATTGCAGCTTAGTGGAATCCTGCAACCAAATTGACTGTACTTAAAAGAAAAGCTCCATTTATTTATTTATTGTAATAAATTGTACATTTATTTTTTCTTCTCATCAGCAACACTAGCATTTTTTTTTTCTGGGACATCTTTCTTAAAGGAGTGATGCTTCTGTTCATGAAAGTTATTGCTCTATATCTAGTAGAGAACAGCAAAGCTAGTAACGGACTGGGTTTACCAGTTAAGTGTACTCACTTGTGCCATCCTGTTGTACAGCTCAGCAAAATACATTTCTATGTGCCACAGTCCTTTAGAATCACTTCTGAATATGTGAAGTCAATGTTAAAACTACTGCTGCAAAGGGTCTGCTGTAGTCAGCTAACCTGTTGAAGGTTGGGAGAGTTTAAGTAAATCATTTGAGGAAAGTCACAAGTATAGTTGCATAATTGTTAGGCACAGAATGAAGCATTTACTGTCAGCATGTCCTGTCATCCTCCTTTTTCAGGCCCACAGGCCCCTTGAGATTTGTGCCAGTTGATGTTGCTGTCTCTGGCCACCCTTATTCCCTAGCTGAGCTCTCGCAAGCCTCATAGGCTCCTGAAGAGAGAGTGACTATGTCCTCCCATGGCAGTAGTGACTTGATTAGACTTCTCTCTGATTACTGGAGCTCAGCCCTCACTAGTTTTTCTGAATAGGGAATTTTACTTCTATTAGTGTATTTGATTTTCTATTTTTCCCCTCCCTCCTCTTCTTAAATAATACCCTGGCTCCTTGATAACATTTCACCCTGTATTTTCTGCAGACCTTCTCTGAACTTACATTTCCACCAGGAGGCTTCCTTAGCACTCCACACTTTCACTGTGACTCACCAGCACACTGGATCTGCTCAAATGTTGTTAGCTTTCATAGGAAAAACCATCACCCCTTCCAAGCTGTGAGCCAGTAAAAAAGAATGATGCTACTAGTAAGACAAGCTTCTTGAAAATTATTTCCCTCAGCTTAAAAAAATGGGACTCCTAGGGCTATTTGCCTTATGAAAGCACTTTGTGAACTAAGCTATTATAGAAATGTTAAGTGGTATTAACAATACATTTAGAAGAGGTAAGATCCTGCGTTTATATGTATCATGAGCACTTTCATCCTGCCAGTTTATGATCATAGTTACTTAGTGATTCAAGATCACCTTTTTGAGGAGGCATATCACTGATAGGTGTTTTCACTGTAGACAGCTTATCTCCTGTGCTGCACCCTTCTGATTTGATCCTGACTCGAGGAACCTTGGATGAAGAGGATGAGGAAGCAGACAGCGATACTGATGACATTGACCACAGAGGTGAGAGGTGGCTGAGGTGGCCCGTGGCAACAGAGCATCTGCTTATCCTCACATTGTTTGCCCAGGAGTTTCTTGCTTTAAGCGTGTAGCCAGTAATAGTGGATAAAGGATACAGCACCAGAAAAGAGTTTCCTATATTGAGAGTTCCTGTCCTGCCTACTGGATGGTTAATACTGAGCTGATTACAGGCCTTTCGTTGGTCTTGTGTCTTCTTATCTTTAGGTCCTAACTTGGTTTGAGGGATCCAGGACTTTTGTTTGTTGTTATTAGTATTTTGTTTTAAGAATATGTAAGGGCTGGGTGTGGTGGCTCATGCCTGTAATCCCACTGCTTTGGGAGGCCAAGTCAGGAGGATTGCTTGAGGCCAGGAGTTCTGGACAAGCCTGGGCAACATAGTTAGTCCCACTCTCTACAAAAAAGAAAAAAATAGCTGGGCATGGTTACTCACACCTGTAGTTCAAGCTGTTTGGGAGGCTGAGGTGGGTGGGTTGCTTGAGCCCAGAAGTTTGAGGCTATTATGAGCTATGACTGTGCCACAGAACTCCAGGCTGGGTGACAGAGTAAGACCATCTCAAAAACAAAAAACACAAATAATACATAAGGTTATATGGACTAAAACAGTAAGGATAGAATGGCTCTGGAAACCCAAATTCCACTTGGCATAGTTTTATGGACTGTGCGCAGAATCTAATTGTTACTATTATTTTTTTGAGACAGAGTTTTGCTTCATTGCCCAGGCTGGAGTGCAGTGGCACGATCTCAGCTGACTGCAACCGCTGCCTCCCGGGTTCAAGTGATTCTCCCACTTCAGCCTCCAGAGTAGCTGGGACCACAGGCACATGCCATCACAGCTGGTTAATTTTTTATATTTTTAGTAGAGACGGGGTTTCGCCATGTTGGCCAGGCTGGTCTCGAACTCCTGGCCTCAAGTGATCCGCCCATCTCGGCCTCCCAAAGTGCTGGGATTACAGGCATGAGCCACCATGCCCTGCCAGAATCTGATTCTTGAAACAACCATAGGCCGGGCACGGTGGCTCACGTCTGTAATCCCAGCACTTTGAGAGCCAAGGTGGGCGGATCACCTGAGGCCAGGAGTTCAAGACCAGCCTGACCAACATGGTGAAACCCCATCTCTACTACAAGTACAAAAAATTAGCTGGGCTTGGTGGCAGGCACCTGTAATCCCAGCTACTTGGGAGGCTGAGGCAGGAGGACTGCTTGAACCTGGGAGGCGGAGGCTGCAGTGAACTGAGAGCTCACCATTGCACTCAGGCCTCGGTAACAAGAGTGAAACTTGATCTCAAAAAACAAACAAACAAACAAACAAAAAAACACGAAAACCACCATACGATTTAGGTCTTAGCTATGGCCAAGAGCAAATCTCCTTATTCTTTAGGCTGGGTTTTACATGTAAATTGCCTTATTTAATCAGATTTTTTAAGATGTAGTTTACCAACAGTGAAACTCACTTTTTGAGTATATAGTTTGATGAGCTTTAATAAATATATACTTTCTTGTAACCACAATCACAGTTGAAATGTAGAGCACTTCCCTCACCCCCCAAAACTTCCTCATGCCCCTTTTTTTTCAGTCCCCATCCTGAACACCTAGTGCCTGGCAACCACTGACTGATTTCTGTTCCTTTGATCTTGCCTTTTCCAGAATGCCATAGAAATAGAATCACAGTATTTAGCCTTTTGCATTTGACTTTTTTGACTCAGTAGTGTAGTCTCTCCATGTTGTTGCATGTATCAGTATGTTCTTTTTTATTGCTGAGTGATATTCCATTATTGTGGATGTTCCACAGTTTGTTTATCCATTCCCCAGTGGACTGATATTTGGGTAGATTTTAGCTATTATGAGTAAAGCAACTATAAACGTTTCCAAATAGATCTTTGTGTAGACGTATGTTTTCATTTCTCTTGGTTAAAAATACCTACA
Source organism: Homo sapiens (assembly GCF_000001405.40). NCBI lineage: Eukaryota > Metazoa > Chordata > Mammalia > Primates > Hominidae > Homo > Homo sapiens. The sequence goes on from NC_000002.12 coordinate 27,649,885, forward strand.
AGTGGGACCTTATTTTAGCTACTATGAGGGAGGTATTCTTTCTACTTATAAAGAAACTACATTTTGGGCAGCATGATAGAGCATGCTTCTAGGAGACATTTCCTTTTTGAGGGAAGTGAGTACTTAAGTTTCTTAGAAGTAATGTACTGTTTTCTGATGGATGGGTGACGGGCTCTAATCAGTTTGTCTAATGAAAGAGTTGAAAAAGAATTGCCCTTTTTTCCTTGCAGTTACAGAGGAAAGCCATGAAGAGCCAGCATTCCAGAATTTTATGCAAGAATCGATGGCACAATACTGGAAGAGAAACAATAAATAGGAGACTTTAGCACACTTCACTTGTTTCTAGAAGTCCAGAATTTTGGACCTCCACGTGAAAGAACTGTTCTTACCTCTGAACTGGGGGCTCCCATAAGGGATAATTTTCCTCAGAGTAGCAAAGTTTCTCTTATTAGAGAAATCTTGTGACTCAGATGAAGTCAGGGATAGAAGACCCTTGGACCTGGCAGGTTAATGCTGATTATTCCTTGGCCTTTCCCTTGTATTTATGCAAGGAAGGATATACTGAGCTGATACTCTTCCAAGCCTACAACTTCAAGTTTTATCATTTGAACTCAAGTACTTTTGCTGCTGAGGAATGGAATCAAAAGAACGTAGTCTCCTGGTGACCACCTCAGATCTCTATTATTAGGCTAGATGTATAGCCTCTACTCCCCCAGCTTCTTGCTCTTGACCCTGCACTGTAAGTTGCCCTTCTATTAGCAGCCAAGGAAAAGGGAAACATGAGCTTATCCAGAACGGTGGCAGAGTCTCCTTGGCAATCAACCAACGTTGCTATGAAATATGCCTCACACTGTATAGCTCATTATAGGACGTCAGGTTTGTTGAAAAAAGTGGGCAAGACATGATTAATGAATCAGAATCCTGTTTCATTGGTGACTTGGATAAAGACTTTTTAATTTTAACTTTGTTCTAAGACTGCTTGTCATGATTTCAAATTAGAAAATTATATAATTGCAAACAGCTTCACTTCTCCTGTTCAACAGAGGCTTAAGGCCAGATGTCCAAACTTGTCTCAATAAGGAGGTGATATTTTACTAAAGTTTCCCACGTGCACATACTGACTAAATACAGAGCTAGGCCCAGTTTGTATTGTACTCTGAACTTAATGCAAAGTCTCCTTGGTGATTTTCGCAAAGTCCGTGGATTTGGGTCAGAGGCACATTTCATACATAACAGCCCTTATAAACGTTTGCCCTGCCTCCACATTTTACAGTATCTTAAAACAGTACATTTCTTTCAAAGAATTTTATCTCTATGAGTCAGTACTCCAACTTAGTGGTTCTCACATTGTGGACCAGGAGCATCAGCATCATCTGGGGAATTGTTCAACTTACCTCTTATAACCTATGAACTCAGAAACCCTGGGGGTGGGCTGAGCAGTCTGTTTTAGAAAGCCCTCCATGTGATTCTGATGCATAGTAGCCTATGACATAATTCCAGACCAGGTGAATCTCAAGATACTAATCCTCACATCATTTGCCTTCTCATATTTCCCTCGTCTTGACCATCTGGTGCCTGTTATGCAGTTTAACATTCTGCAGCAATAAAAGTGTTTTATTATAAAGTATTAATTTTAATGTTCTATACTTAGTGGGAACCACTGGTCTCAAAATTTGAAGCTATTCTTTAAGAGGAGAACATTCGCAAAACTCAAGCATACTTGGTTTTTCTCTGTAGTACTTTTGAATGCTTTATCTTCCTTACAGAATAACTTGTCTTCCTTATGCTTCAAGCTCCAAAAGGGTAAGGAAGAAGTCTTAATCATTTTTGTATTCCTTGCACAGGACCTAGCAAATAATTGGTACTCAATGTTTGCTGGATGAATGAACTAAATTCCCATACGGCCACTTTATGGAAACTAACTGCCTAATCGCCACTTTCATTATAAACAAAGGAAAATGAAGATAAGACTGCAACAGAGGCCAGGTGCAGTGGCTCACGCCTGTAATCCCAGCACTTTGGGAGCCCGAGGCGGGCAGATCACTTGAGGTCAGGAGTTTTGAGACCAGCCTGGCCAACACGGTGAAACCTCATCTCTACTAAAAATGCAAAAATTAGCTGGGTGTGGTGGCATGTGCGTGTAATCCCAGCTACTCAGGTGGCTGAGGCAGGAGAATCGCTTGAACCTGGGAGGCAGAGGTTGCAGTGAGTCGAAATTGCACCATTGCACTCCAGCCTGGGTGACAGAGCAAGACTCCATCTCAAAAATAAATAAATAAATAAATAAATTAAAAAAAAGACTGTGACAGAAAGGGTTTAGAGAAATGTGCTAAAGAGTTACAATTGGCAAATTTAAAATTATATGTTAAACTATAACCTCATTTGTATCATATTCATTTATTCTCAATACCTGGGACATTTAAGGCATTCAATAATGAATTAAAGCTGTGCCTTATTTTGGTCTGCATTAAAGGAGTGGTCTAAATTTTACAAGATATATTTTGCATCAGAAAATCAAACTTCAGCAGTTTAACATGCTGGCATCCATCACCAAGGCATGAAGCAACACATTTGCTAATGATTCCTAATCACTACAGTGCTACATCATTTACTTAATAAATACTGATTCAGTACTTATATATACAGATAGTCTGATGGATGAGTAACCACAGTGATGTTGTTCAGGACATGATGTAAAGTTGAAAGGTGCATATTGCTATGTTTTAAAGGCTGCCTTTACAGTAGAAGCAGCAAAGTGTGCTTAATGGACTGCTGTCCTCTGATGACCAAGCAAATGCAACAAATGAAATATGCACAAGGCTGTCCTTGGACAGTACTTGTTTGCTTTGCTCACAAAGGAGAAAAGGAAAGAAACAATTGAAAATATGTATATGGTGAAAGTATGTGAGTCCGAGCAGAAATAACAAAGGCAAAAGGATGAGGAGAGATGGAGTAAGTCTAGAGAAGAAAATAAATGGATGAGATAGAGAGCTGTCTAAGCAAAAAAGGTGTCAGACCTCTGATCTTATAAATAAGACACTTCAAAAGTAGCAAAAACAGTTTTAAGAAGGTGACTAATAGATAAGGTGTGTTGTGTTTAGCTATTTCCTGTTAGGTATTAGTAATGGGTTCCCAATGACCTGAGCCAAAAATGAATCAAGTTAAATGAAAACTGACATCTGATATGAGCATATATTATTAGTCTATTCAAGCACAGTTTTGAAGTTAGCAAACATCTAAATCCTCACATCTCTACAAGGTAGGTCAAAGTATGATTCTTCTCAGTTGTACAAGATAAATGGCTGTATAACATGTCTAGTCATAGTTAAGACAACAATTGGGGACAGTGCTTTGGTCTGATTGCCATGCCAGCATCATATTTTATCTGTGAAGGGTGGCTTGGTTGTGGAAAACTATAAAAACTGGATGCAAAAGTAAAATGCAACCTTGTTTGGTGACGTCCAGTTCCTCTGGAATTAGGAAAAACCACTTGTGTTTAAGAACAGGAGTCAAATCAATTTTTAAGGAAACAGATTCTAATACAAAAACCTTTTCTGTTGGGTCTAGTAGGTCTGGACAAAACATCTCCCTCTTTTCCTTTTATATTTTCCTCATCCTCTTCTTGCAGCGCTGGTTGAAAACAGGGGAGGACCCCATGAGGCTGTCAGTGGAGTGGGAACCATAGCTGCTATCTGAGTCATCAGGGCTCTGAGGAATCCCAGCTTCACTCATGCCTGACATAGGCTCCTCGAAGACATCACTGCCCAGCACACCATGCCCAGAGACATTGCCTTCTTCACTTTCTTGAGGCTCCATTTTCACATGGGCCAGATTCCAAAGAGGAGAAGCATTTACCTCTGCACCTAGAAACAGAGGAAAGATGGACATACACCAAGTGTATATGTGTAGCCAAGTGTAGAACAAAGAGTAAATATATCACTCAGAACCAACTAATATGCTTTGAGCTCAGTTTTCACTCTGATTCTGTACTTGGCTGGAGAATATGGTTGTTACTCTCTGCTTCAAAAAGTTAACCATCCCAAAAAATTACCAGCTCTGATTATCTTCTTTTCCATTTCTTCTACCTTTCTTTCCTCTACCTCACCCACCCCCATTTCCCCTAAACCAGGGAAGTGAAACTAGGCAGGTGGAAAGATCCCCTGTCTCACAGCCCAAAGACATGCACAACCACAGGACTTGTTCAGTTGTTTAGTTTGCCTGTCCTTCCTTCCTTCTTTTATGGGGCCATCTTGTTTTCCTGCCTTTTGTTTGGGTCTCTGGTCATCTCTTGCATTATGAAAAGTTAATGGTCACTACATAATGCTAACAGCAGTTCTCTACCTGGTCTTCTTTGAAGAGACATGGTCCCGAAGTCCGCAACAATTTCTCTTTGGCCCTCGCATCTCTCTATGTATTCTAGCAATGCTGTTCTCTTATGGTTATTCTTCCATAGTGAAAGGCTCTCTGCCCAACACTTTTAAAAGTATGACCTAATTCCATTTAGACCACATTTGAGGATTTGCTATTTGAGTCATTTGTGCATTGATGACAATTTATACTTGTAAACAACTGAGTGTCCAGACTAATTTGCAACCTAACTGACACGTAACCAGTCAGTTGTCCTGGCTCCTAAGGTAATCACAGAGTCTGGAAAAAGAAGCCAGCTACCTCTAACTGGGAAGCCCTATTTCTTTTTTTTTGAGACGGAGTCTTGCTCTGTTGCCCAGGCTGGAGTGCAGTGGTGCAATCTCGGCTCACTGCAAGCTCCGCCTCCTGGGTTCATGCCATTCTCCTGCCTCAGCCTCCTGAGTAGCTGGGACTACGGGTGCCCACCACCACGCCCAGCATATTTTTTGTATTTTTAGTAGAGACAGGATTTCACTGTGTTAGCCAGGATGTTCTCGATCTCCTGACCTCGTGATTCGCCCGCCTCAGCCTCCCAAAGTGCTGAGATTACAGGCGTGAGCCACTGCGCCCAGCCGGAAGCCCTATTTCAATGTCTTTCATCTTCAGTTTGTTAGAATACTCTAGCAGGGAAGCCAAACTCTGAGAACATCCTTGAGCAATTAACACTCCCCCATCTATCTGGCAGCTGTCTTATTCAATGAAGTACAAGCATCAGGAAGGACCAATACAGAATACTAAAAATAAAATACTAAAGGAGGAAGGGGATATCTTCCCAACCAGCTGGATCAGCTGAATCAGCCTTGGTAATCAACGTGACAACACATTGCATCTACATCTTAACTAGGGATTATTTTAAAGAATGCCTGTAAAGCTGTGCTAATCCTCTCTTCACTAATTAGAAAGAGAAGAATGCTGGGATCTCTAGATAGGTGAAACTGTATTCGTTTTAGGACTTTCCATTCTGCCCACTGCTGCTTTTGTTCTTCTACCTCTTGAGCTTGATTCCAAAAAGCAAAAAGTACTGAAATTGGCAGATCTCCCAGAATCAAAGTGAGTAAGTTTATTTGTCTTACTTGAAGCCTGTGGTGAAGCTTCAACCTCCAGGTTAGATGGGAAGCGTTCGCTCTGAGCCCCAAGCACTCCCATAGGCAGTGACTGGTCTCCAGAAGCAAGGTCAGCCTCCAGCTCCTCACTGACAGGAAAAGTGATGTCGCTCACAGGTTCCTCCTTGATCTTCACAGGTTTAGCGTCCTCTGTGGCCTTCTCAGGATTGACAATCCTTTCATATTCTTCAGAGAGTTGCTTACTAATCTGTTGGCAAGCAAGAGTCAATTTTCCAAGGAAATGTTAAAAGCAAGTTGGATAGTCAGCTTGTGACGTCCCATGGAAAAGCCAACAGAACATGAATAACAGAATTTTAAAACATTCACTGCCAATGGGAGGGATTTGTTTAAGGTGCTGAGTTTGCATTTATGAGTGATAGAGATATGTAAAGAAAATTGGTTTGGCAGAGAATGTGTATGTCATTAATTAAAAGTTACATAAAGGTAAAAAAATGTGTTAGAACTGGGACAAAAGATTACATTTTTTTGGCTATAAAAATTAACAGTAGGCTGGGCACGGTCATTCACACCTGTCATCCCAGTACTTTGGGAGGCCAAGGTGGGAGGACAACTTGAGCCTCGGAGTCTGAGACCAGCTTGGGCAGTATCTAGTGAGACCCCATCTCTACCAAAAAAAAAAAAAAGCTGGGCATGGTGGTTCACATCTGTGGTCTCAGCTACTTGGAAGGCTGAGGTGGAAGGATCGCTTGTAGTGAGCTGTGATTGTGCCACTGCACTCCAGCCCAGGCAACCCTGTCTAAAAAAAGGGAAAAAAAAGTTGACATATGTATCCTAGGTGAATAATCAATGGTGTGGGAAATCTGGATCACTTAGCAAAGACTTTTTTCTTGGGTGTTAAAAATTCCTAATCATATTTTAGACCTGCAGAAACTGAAACAGTGAACAAATGACTTAAGAGCACAAGGGCTGAAGAGATTAGATATTTCTGGTTCCAAGCAAAATCATCACCCCCCACCAACCCATCCTCCAGGCAATATCATTTTACTCTGTTTTTTTCATAGCACTTAACATTATCCAAAATTGTATTTTTTTGTGTATGTGCTTAGAGACAGGGTCTTGCTATGTTGCCCAGGCTGGTCTTAAACTTCTGGCCTCAAACAATCCTCCCACCTCAGCCTCCCAAGCAGCTATATTAGATATATATATTACAATTCCAGTCAAACCATTATATTAGCTGCTTGAGAGGCTGAGGCAGGAGGATTGTCAGTAGGTCTGTGTTCTCTTTTTTTTTTTTTCAGACAGGGTCTTGCTCTGTCACCCAGGTTGGAGTGCAATGGCACAATCATGGCTCACAGCAGCCTTAACTTCCTGGTCTCAAGTGACCTTCCCACCTCACACTCCCAAGTAGCTGAGACCACAGGCATGAGCTACCATGTCCAGCTAATTTTTATTTTTTAATTTTCTGTAGAGATGGGGTCTCACTATATTGTCCAGGCTGGTCTTGAACTCCTGGCCTCAAGCAATCCTCCCACCTCAGCTTCCCAAGTAGCTGGGATTACAGGCATGTGCCATCATGCCCAGCTCCTGAAATTGTTTTGATTGTTATTTATTGACTTGTGTTTGTCTCCCTTCAAAAACAATGTAAACTCAGGTAACTTAGTAACTGCTGAATCCCACAATGCTCGACTCTCAACAGGCACTCAATAAATACTTGTTGAATAAAATCAGACTAACTGCATTCTCTCAGATTCCATATACTTGTGGATAGTTTCTTCCAGAGGAAGTATCAGTGAATGTGGCCATTCACTGACTAAAGGAGACCCATGGTATTTGGCCAGGAACATCGCTAGGGCCATCATAAAAGTATGTTAAGTTCACTCTGTTCCAAGACTCTGTGCTCTGCACTCTAGACCAAGTGTTGTGGGATCCTGCTGAACACTCCGAGATTGCACAGACATCTGTGCCCACTTTTCAACAGGGTCGCCTCACCTGTAGCATGTAACTGTGATAGTCCTTGATGCGGTGCTGCCAGAACTTCTGGAGGGAGAGCACACTGCCAATACCCACTTCATGGAATACCTGCTCCATCACATCAGGAAAAGGAGTCTGTCCCAGCCGGGCCTCCCGGTCCACAGCAAAACGCAGCAACTTGGTAAACTTAAGGCAATACTCATGTGCCACATCAGTTAGGGTCTCCAGGACACTCTCATTAGCACAGTCAAAGCCCGCGTGGGCCAGGATTGTGGCCACTGCCTGGTAGAGGAGCTGCCGACAGGAGTGCCAGCTGAGTTCAGTCACAGGTTCCCCTTTCCCACTGAAAGTGGAGATACGGTGGTGTTATTAATGTTCTTGCAAAGGGGTGACCCCTCCTGTCTTCCCCAGGAGTTTTACAATTCCAGTCAAGCCACTGGCCTAGCTTTCCAGGGAAATTCCATCCAAGTTACATAGCTCAGTTTCATCCTGCTGCTATCTGGGCATGTCTTAGCAACCCATGGTCATATCTTTGAGCTCCTCCAAAGACATAGTTTGAATAGGCAATACATGTCTATAATACACAATCCAAAAGGATATCTAGTGAAAAGAAAGTTTCCTTCTAGCAACTGTTCAATTTTGATCACTTTTAGGATTAAGTTTAACAGTATAGCCCAGACACTGCTCAATGATGCTCTAATTATTTTACCATAACCTAGTTTTCATACATGCTGGGCAATATATTAATACAAACTTTTAGAAATTCACAGTTCCAATAAAGAGATTCTTCACAGTTCCCAGGAGTTTAAGATTCTTAGATTCTTATAAAGTTACAAGGGACCATTTCAAAACAGGGAAGTCAACTCAATTTTATAAAAGCAATTTAAAACATATATAGCTTACAAAGCATTTTCATCCTATCCTGTGTTGTGCAATGGGTAGGGTCTGTATTATTATTATTTCTATTTGCCAGGAGAGGAAACAGGTTTAGAAGGGCTGACTTGCCAAAATTTGTTTACATATAATTAGTAAGTGGTAAAGCTTCTGACTCCAGAAACCGTATCCTGCATAATACACCATTTTGCCCCTAATCACTACTGCAGAAATCTTAATTTTCCAAGAAAAAAATTAAGAAAGCTATTTGATCTAAAAATAACTTAAGAAGCTTTTAATAATTTACCTGTCTCTTGAAATTTCCTACTGGCTTCTGCCTACCCCTGACAAAGGAATTTATTTTACCAATAAAAATAAAATAGAGCACAGAAAATCATTTTTCCTTGGTTCGTACTTGGCATGTGTCATCACGCACTGTACAAAAGTGCCTGAGTGGTTATCCACCCACTAAACTCTGACCTGTTCAATAGCAACTATTGCAGTTTACATAATAGTTTGACAATAAGATAACTAATTGCCAAGTAACTTTTCATTTACTATCTTCATCATTTCCATGGCCAGTGTCTCTGGGCCAAAAGCTAAAGGCCTCATAAGTACCTAATAAACAGAGACAACTAAACCAATATCACTTTCCTAGAATAATATCTGGACCTCTTTCAAAGGAAAGTAATTTTTTGGTGCCCCCATAACTGATGCAAATTATTTTTGTTATACAGTTTCCTAAATATGTATAAAATAAAACCAGGTACAAACTTTTGATGGTCATGGCTCTTACTATATAAATTTGATACAAAACTAAAAATGAATAAACAGCATCAATTTAATATGATAGATAACATTATATTGTTGAAATTAAATTGCCCTCAATATGTGAATACAGTATTGATCACCACAGAGCAAGTTTTTTGAGTTGGGCGTGTCTATGCTAGCATATGCTGTGCATGTAATAACACAGTTATGCCTCCCCTTTTCATTATTCCAGTGACTTCAGAACCTTTGATTACAATGGACCTTGATATAATCTGGCCTTCACCTGGCCCAACTGCAATGCAACCCCTGTGTATTTAGTCTATTTCTGTACTTTTCTCATTAGTTTGGGAACCACTAAAATAGTATTACCAGCAACAGGTAGATGTAATAAATAACATATAATATCACTTCTGTAGTATTCTTGCCGAACATATTTAATCTGAATCTAATCTTGAGGAAATAATCAGCAAATCCAGTAATTGGGACATTCTACAAGCGACCTGAACTCATAAAAGACTCTAAAGAGGCATAACAACCAGGTACAATGCATGAATCTTTGTTAGATCCTGGATTCGAGGGAAAAGACATTTACAAAAGATATTTTGTAAATATACTTACAAAAGATAATTGGAAGAATGTGAATATGAACTTATTAAATGGTACTTAATGTTCATTTACTTTGGTAATGGTATTATGATTATGCAGGAAAATTTCCTTATTCTTAGGATATGCATGCTGAGGAATTTAGGGGTGAAATATGGTGATGTCTGCAACTTACTTTAAAATGGGGGAAAAAATGTGTGCATATACAAGTATGCATATATGTATGTTTGTATATGTGTGTATATATGTGTATACACACACATATGTGAGAAAGTAAATGTGGCAAAATGTTAAACATTAGTGAGTCATGGTGAAGGTATTTGGATGTTTGTTGACTATTACACATTTCTGTAGGTTTGGCAAATTTCAAAATGAAAATAAAAAAGTAATTGGCATTAAATACAACTTGCACACTGACATCTAGTAGCAGCTCTAGGTTATAAGGCAGTCACGTTCAGAGGATGTGGAGCAGAGCTTCTCAAACTTAAATGCACATACAAATCTCCTGGAGATCTTGTTATAATGCAGATTCTGATTCAGCAGGACTGGGTGAGGCCTGAGATTCTGCATATCTAAAAAACTGCCAGGTGATGTTGATGCTGCAGATCTTGGACCAGATATTGAGTAGCAGGGATCAATAACATTTTTATATTATTATTTCTTTTTTTTTTTTTCCAGACAGGGTCTCACTCAGTCACCCAGGCTGGAGTGCAGTGGAGTGATCTGCAATCTCTGCCTCCCCTGGGTTCAAGTGATTCTCGTGCCTCAGCCTCCCGAGTAGCTGGGACTACAGATGTGCGCCACTACACCTGACTAATTTTTGTATTTTTAGTACAGATGGGGTTTCGCCATGTTGGCCAGGTTGATTTTGAACTCCTGGCCTCAAGTGATCCACCCACCGTGGCTTCCCAAAGTCTTGGGGTTACAGGCATGAACCACTGTGCTCAGCTTATATTATTATTTCTTGAACTATGTTATCAAAATGAAAACACACAATTTAAAGATTCTTGTGTAGACTTGCGGATTCCTAAAAATACCAGAATAAGTCCATGAATCCCAATTTGAAGACAACGAGCTAAACCCATAATTTTTTTTTATATTAAATAGAAAGACTAGATCCTAAGAACTATGAGGCCATGGCCTTTTTTACATACCAGTGTATTACCCTGCTCCTAGTAAAGTGCTTGGCACATAGTAAGCACTCAAAAAATTAAAAAATACAGACCCTGAATTCTGAAGACTGGCATTCAAAACTTAGATATCCCACTAATTACCTGGAGAAACCTTGGCCAAGTCAATTACTCTTATCCTCAGTTTCCTCGCATGAAAATGGAAATGCTATTATAGGCTTAACAGGGTTGTTGGGAAGATGACTTGAGAAAAGTAAGATACAGCAAAGCCTTGCCTTACCGATAAAAGTCACTCTCTGGGTCACTGTGCCGGATCTGGAATGGTGCATTGGGATTCTTACAATCTAAAGGCAGGAGGTCATCAGGGAGAGGAGGTGACCCAGGGCACGAGGGAAGAGGTTCACTCTCTTCAGTTTTTACACCTTCTGTCTGCTGCTGATTCTGGGCCTGAGCTGTGGCAATAAGGTTGCGAAGACGTCGGTTGTGCTGAATCAACTGAATCGTATGGATGGTGAGACTACATGGCTCTGAGGGGATGTCCAGCATAGTGGGGGGCTTCGGCTTGTTGGCTGAGGGTTGGTGCAGGGGTGGGTCATGGACTTCCACCAGACGGAACTCCCGTGGGAGCAAATCGAAGGAACTTCTGTTGGTCTGGCTTGATGATATTGGTATCTCTCCCCAGTATCTCAACATTTTGGAATAAGAAGAGAAGAGGTCTCAGGATAAATGTAGACAATAACCTAAAAGTAATGTGTTTAAATCCTGGCAACTTTAGATTATAGGCTTCTGTAGTGAAAAATACGAGGTCTAGCCAGTTATTTATGTAAAAAGTAGGCTATTTGTGACCACTTAGAAAAATGTCAGTGTCAGCAAAACTGTAGGACCAAAGGTGTTCTCCCTAAATAAATTAAGAGAAATGTAACTGTTAGATGCTGGTTATTGTCATACTATGACAATTCCTACTACACTGAACCACAGGGTAGAATTTGGGTCATTAGTGGACCAATAGCTACAACAGCATCTGGAGCTCTAGTATCCCTATTTCCCATCTCACTCACTAACTCATTACCAGAACTACCATCACGCTCAATCCTGAACAATAAGCAAGGCATGATAAGGTATCTTGATACATCTGTGCTGGATCAATAGGAGAAAAACTAGTAGGGTTAAAGATAATAAGAAGTGGTTCTTACTCTGTGTGTCTTAGGCATGATCCTGGTGGAAAAATTTATGAACCATTAATCTAAATGGCATTATGCTTTCAACTTTTGACATATAGAACGTGAGAGATTTCTGCTGCCTTCTAACTGGTATCCCTTCCTCCAATCTCTCTTTGTATGTCATCTATTCTCTACACTGCTGCTAGACTTACTCTTTTTAAAACTTAAATCAAATGGCTTCCCATTGCCTATTGGAAAAAGTCAGAATTCCTTGGCTTACCATTCAACAAAATTCACAATCTGGTTTCAACTCACCTTTGCAGATTCATTGTCCATATGTCTCTTCAAGTTCAACAAACATTTATCAAATGCCAGGCATTCTGTGTCGGTCAAAGACTGATAATGTGAGATCCTTGCCCTGAAGTGAGGAAGAGAAACAGAAGCAGAATATTTCAATATGAAACATGGTAAGTACTGTTCTAGAGGTATATGGACCTGGGGTACTGGAAGCACAAAGGAGGAGCTTCCTGGGTGAAATGACTACCTTTGTTCTAACAACATTATACTACTCAGTTTCTTGAGAATGCTGTACATTTCCACAATTGACACTTTCAGCTGTGAACTCTGCCAGAAATGCTCTGCCAACCTTGCACATCCCTGGCAGACTCATATTCATTTTTAAGTACAGCATAAGTCCCCACCGTCCGTCACTTCACCAGTGCATCTCCCTTTCTCTATTCTCACAGTGCTTTGCAAGTCTATGTCACAGCAGTTATCCTTGGATTTTAATTAGTACTTATCGCAATAGATTTTTTCTGCCCGTCTATTTCTTATGGCTGTGGTCTTGTTACAGGGCCAGGCACACAGAAATATCTGGCATTTGTTGAATGTTTACTATATGCCAGACTTCACCTTTTTTGTTTGTTTCTTTTTTGAGACAGGGTTTCACTCTGTAGCCCAGGCTGGAGTGCAGTGGTGCAGTCATGGTTCACTGCAGCCTCAACCTCCTGGGACCAAGCAATCCTCCCACCTCAGCCTCTGGAGTAGCTGGGACTACAGGCGCGCACCATCAAACCTGGATTTTTTCTTTTTTTTTTTTTTTTTTGGCGAGACAGGGTCTCGCCATGTTGCCCAGCCTCCTCTGGAACTCCTGGGCTCAAGCAATCCTCCCGCCTCAGCCTCCCAAAATGTTGGGATTACAGGCATGAGCCACCGGTCTGGCTGGCCTTTATTGTTTGATTCAATTCTTCCAACAACCCTATGAGGCTAATAATCTTATCCCCATTTTTCAGAGTGAGGGCTGAGGCCTAGTGTCTTGCCCAATGTCACAAATGGCGAGGTCAAAAATCGACAGTCTCCAGAGTCTGCTCTCTTAACCACTTAACTATTCTGCCTTAATAATTTCAGAAAAAAAATAAATGAATGAACGAAATAACAAAAAAGTCGCCCTCTTCCCTTACTTTACCGAAAGGAGCACGAAGAACAGGCACGGAGCCCAAGGAATGCCCAAGTCCCTCCAGGGGTTTCCTCGGTCACGGTCCGCCGGCGCAGGCGCCAATCACAGGGTCCTGAGGTCGCCTGACGTTCAGGGCAGCCGGAAGACGGGGAGGTCTGGACCTGAACCGAGACAAGGAGGTACCACACTATTCACTGCTGCGTCGCAGAGCGGGCTGGGCGGCTGTCTGGACCTCGAGAGGCCTGAGGCAAGGATCGCGTCAGACCCCGAAAGCTGGTTTGTTGATTAGTGATCTAAGACCGCCGGAAGCGCTTCTTCTCAATCAAGCTATGCAACAGGAAGTCATTACGATCCCGTTGTAACCTCTAAATATGTCCCCGTTCTGCACAGCATCCCGATAACCGTTTTGTTTTTCTCATATTATGACCTTCTCATGTTAGCACCACTTCGCAACGCTCCAGGTCGTGAAGGAGCAACTTCACCATCGCCGCCTACAGACGCCACTGGGAGCTTGGGAGAGTGGGACGTGGACAGGAACGTAAAGACCGAAGGGTGGGTTTCGAAGGAGCGGATTTCGAAGTTGCACCGGTTGAGGATGGCTGACATTCTCTCTCAGTCAGAGACCCTGGCGTCGCAAGACCTCAGTGGGGACTTCAAGAAGCCAGCTCTGCCGGTGTCCCCAGCGGCGCGGAGTAAGGCCCCGGCCAGCAGTTCTTCAAACCCTGAGGAGGTACAGAAGGAAGGGCCCACTGCGTTGCAGGACTCCAATTCTGGGGAGCCCGACATCCCTCCTCCTCAGCCGGACTGCGGTGATTTTAGGAGTCTACAGGAGGAGCAGTCGCGCCCCCCGACAGCGGTTTCTTCCCCTGGCGGTCCAGCCCGGGCTCCCCCCTACCAAGAGCCTCCATGGGGTGGCCCTGCCACAGCCCCCTACAGCTTAGAGACCCTGAAGGGCGGCACTATCCTTGGCACCCGTAGCTTGAAAGGGACGAGTTACTGCCTTTTCGGGAGGCTGTCTGGCTGCGACGTGTGCCTGGAGCACCCTTCGGTGTCTCGGTACCACGCAGTGCTGCAGCACAGGGCGTCCGGCCCTGACGGAGAATGCGACAGCAACGGGCCGGGCTTCTACCTCTACGATCTGGGAAGCACCCATGGCACTTTTCTCAACAAAACTCGCATCCCACCTCGCACCTACTGTCGAGTCCACGTTGGGCATGTTGTTCGCTTTGGAGGCAGCACCCGGCTCTTTATCCTGCAGGTAGGTAGAAAAACCTAGAATTGAAATTTCGGGTTCATTGGACTGCGTTCTTGTGCTTCTTAAGCTTTGGATGAGGAAGAAGAATCTCCCACTCAGCGATTACGAAAGTGAAGGAATCAAGTCTGGCCTATCATCTTCAGACGGCTGTACACATTGCTATATTTCTGAAAGTCATGTTCACAATCCCGAACTCTAAAATAACTTGTTTGGCCAGGCGCGGTGGCTCGCGCCTGTAATCCCAACACTTTGGGAGGCCCAGGCGGGAGGATCGCTTTAGCCCAGGAGTTTGAGAGGAGGCTGGGCAACATGGCAAGACCCTGTCTCTTAAAAAAAAAAAAAAAAATTAGCCAGGCATCATGGTCCCAGCTGCTCAGGAGGCTGAGGTGGGAGGATCACCTGAGCCCAGGAGGTCAAGGCTGCAGTGAGGTGTATTACAGCCACTGCACTCCAGTCCAGCCTAGGCGACAGAGCAAGACCCTGTCTCTAAATAAATAAATAACCTTTTTTTCCTTGGTTCATCAGGGACCAGAGGAAGACCGAGAGGCAGAATCCGAGTTAACAGTAACACAGTTGAAGGAATTGCGCAAGCAGCAGCAAATATTGTTGGAGAAGAAGATGCTAGGAGAAGACTCAGATGAAGAAGAGGAAATGGATACCTCTGAAAGGAAGATAAATGCTGGTAGCCAAGATGATGAGATGGGTTGCACCTGGGGAATGGGTAAGAAATTAAAATTGCTGCCGGAGGTTAATATTTTAAGTTCATTACAAGTGGTACCCTTAAATGTTTTTTTAAATCATACAGCTTTTCATGGCTCCTTGAGATAGATAGGGCAAACACAATTTGCACATGAGGTAACCAAAACCCAGAGAGATTCACTGACTTTACTGTTGTAAAGAAATTGACTTATAGGCACTTTGGATTTTTTAAAAATTTATTTTTAATGCACTCTCTTGTTCAAAACTTGTCCTAAGCATAAAATTATTATTTTTACAATTCTAAAATTTTATATTTATTAAGTACTGACCTTGTGCTATGTGATTATCATTGGAGGGGATGGAACTCTATTCAATCAAATAAATGGGATGTTATTCAATATAGGATATTCTCTTGAATTTTTTGTACTTTGTGAAGATATCCTGAAATGTGGAATATCTAATCAGATAAAGCTGGTCCCTTAGCCAAAATAATAAACTTTCTTTAACACCAGATATTTTAGAAAATGGATATTCAGGAGATGGGAGTATAAAAAGGTAGAAGATGGCATTAATATATAGTTGGGAAGATAGGAAAAATTATGAAATTACTTGTGCTAAGTGCCAAACAAAAGCTAGAAACCATAAGTATGCTAGAGTGAAAGTTTGGAGAAGAGAGAACAGTCACTGGGGACTTAGACCTGTGTTGTCTGATATGGTAGCCACTAGCCACATGTGGTTACTGAGCACTTGCAGTGTGGCTAGTTGCAATTGATGTGTGCTGTAAATGCAAAATACACACTGAATTTCAAAGACTTAGTCTGAAAAAAAGAATGTAAAATATCTCTTTCATGATATTTTTATATTGATGACATGTTGAAATGACAATAATTTTACCTGTTTCCTTTTAATTTTTTAATGTGGCTAATAGAAAATTTAAGATGACGCATACAGCTGTCATTATATTTCTGTTGGACAGCACTGACTTAGATCTTTGGGAAACTTAATTTTTTTTATTTTAGTAGAGATGGGGTTTCACCATATTGGCCAGGCTGGTCTTGAACTCCTGACCTTGTGATCCACCCCCCACCCCCCCCCCCCACCCCGCCCCCCGGCCTCCCAAAGTGTAGAGATTACAGGCGTGAGCGATCGCACTCCACAGGGAAGCTTTATGAGCATAAGGATTTTGAGCTGGAACTTGAAGGAAAGGAAAAGCCTTATGAAGCTGAGTATTGGGATTGGTATTCAGGGTAGGAATTGATGATTTTAAGGAAGTTGTGAGTAGACCAGTCTATTTGGCAGATATAAGAAGTATTAGGAAATTATATTGGGAACGAAAGTTAGATATGAGTGTGAGAGAACAAGAATGCCAGGCTGAGGAGCTCAAATTTTTTTTCCACAATGTGGTAGGTAATTTTACTTTTAAAATATAATGATGGAGAAAAAAAAATTAAGGTGCCATGAAAACAAGTTTTGACTTGTCACACAATTTAGAAAACCTGAATATGCTCATACTAGTGGTTTTGTGGTGGTTGTTCCACCCCCTGTCCCTGCAAGTATTTATTATTTTTCATCACAGATAAACTATATATATATATATATTTTTTTTTTTTTGGGAGACGGTCTCACTGTGTTGCTTGGGTTGGAGTGCAGGTAGCGCGATCTTGGCTCACTACAACTTCTTCCTCCCAGGTTCAAGCAATTCTCCTGCCTCAGCCTCCCAAGTAGCTGGGATTACAGACACCCGCCACTGTGCCCAGCTAATTTTTTTTGTATTTTTAGTAGAGATGGGGTTTCACCATGTTGGCCAAGCTGGTCTTGAACTCCTGACCTTGTGATCCACCTGCCTTGGCCTCCCAAAGTGCTGGGATTACAGGCATGAGCCACTGCGCCCAGCCTAAACTATATCTTTATGCAGCCTGAGAGAATAGTGGGTATCATTCAAATAGTCTCTTCTCATGTCTGATTATCTTTTCTTTCTTTTCCATATCCTGTAGGAGAAGATGCAGTAGAGGATGATGCTGAAGAGAACCCTATTGTCTTAGAGTTTCAGCAGGAAAGGGAGGCCTTTTATATAAAGGATCCCAAAAAGGCTCTCCAAGGCTTTTTTGACCGAGAAGGTATGTAAACAGATTCTGACCCTACCACTAAAACATATCCAGAGCAGTGTGGTTTTCTAGAGCTTCATGTTGAGCTTTATACTAAGATATGCTATAATTTTATTGCTGTCCTTCTTGTTCACTTTTTACTCTTGTGGTCAGTTGCTTTAGGTTTATTTTGAAAATTATTCCTCATTAGTATGGCAGAGGGGAAAAAAATCATAAAAATCTTGTTAGTCTTTCTTCTTATCTTAAAAAAAGGAAGTACTTTTTCCTGACTCATCTCATTCTTCTCAAAAGATCCTGGACTTTGGTGGTGGGGAAATTGAGCCAACTTCCTGTAGTTTTTTAATTCCGAATTCACCTGATCTTTTGTAATTCCTAACATAGGTTTTGATTTTATATTATATGATTTAAAATTTTTTTTCCATAGAGGATTGTTTTGGTAGGAATACTTTGAGAGAATATCTATGTATATGTATGTATATCTGTATATATTTTATATGTATATATAAATAATATATGAAATAGCTGTGCACTTAATATCTGTGCTTCTAAAAACCAGGCAACTGTGTTAAAATAACCACTAAAGTCTACAACTTATAAAAGTGAAACATACTATACAGTGAACAGAGCTATGTATGGAGAATTGGTTACTTTGATCTGAGTTTGTTTTTTTCTCTGCCTCAGACTTACTCTAATTTTATTATCAGACAATAATCCCTAGGAATGAGAAGTGAAATGCATTGAAATTTATTATTCAGTGTGGTATGGGAACTTGTTCTTTTTTTTTTTTTGAGACGGAGTCTCGCTCTGTTGCCCAGGCTGGAGTGCAGTGGTGCGATCTCGCCTCACTGCAAGCTCCGCCTTCCGGATTCACGCCATTCTCCTGCGTCAGCCTCCCGAGTAGCTGGGACTACAGGCGCCCGCCACCACGCCCGGCTAATTTTTTTTGTATTTTTAGTAGAGACGGGGTTTCACTGTGTTAGCCAGAATGGTCTCGATCTCCTGACCTCGTGATCCTCCCATCTCGGCCATCCAAAGTGCTGGGATTACAAGCGTGAGCCACCGCGCCCAGCCAGAACTTGTTCTTTTTTTGAGACAGGGTCTCACTCTGTCGCCCAGGCCGGAGTGCAATGGCGCAATCTTGGCTCACTGCAACCTTGACCTCCTGGGTTTAAGCTATGCTCCGGCCTTAGCCCCCGTAGTAGCTGGGACAAAAGTCACGTACCATCATGCCCGGCTAATTTCTGTATTTTTTGTACAGATGGGGTTTTGCCATGTTGCACAGACTGGTTTCGCGCTCCTTAACTCAAGCTGTCATCCCGCCTCAGCCTCCCAAAGTGTTAGGATTACAGGCGTGAGCCACTGCTAGGAACTTGTTCGTATTTAACGTTTGTTCTCATTTATCATTGTATCAACTAGTAATTTTTGGATTCTATTAAAATTGTTTTGTCTGTCTTTCTCCCACAGGAGAAGAATTAGAATATGAATTTGATGAACAGGGACATAGCACTTGGCTCTGCAGGGTGAGGTATGCTCTTTTCTTATTAATGTTCTTTTCTGGAAAATGGCCAATTTCAGGTTTAATGTATGGTTATAGATAACAACCCAAAGAGTAACTTTCATCTAAGTTTAAGCTATTTCTAAATTTGAGCCTTTATCGTTTAGTAACCCTTATATTATTGGAGAGTGGGGTGGGATGGGTAAGAAATAGAAAGAAAATATTTTAAATCCAACATTGGAAAGATAGAACAAGATGGATTCAAAGACTGAAAGGCCATCTAAAAAAAAAATGACTATTATCATAGCATAGTAGTTGTTTTCTTGAGAATTGGAGCTTAATGCTGTGCTATAATTCCCACCAAATCAATGAAGATTACCTGTGGACGATTCAACTGGAAAACAACTGGTGGCTGAGGCCATTCACTCAGGAAAGAAAAAAGAAGCAATGATCCAGTGCTCATTGGAAGCTTGTCGGATTCTTGACACTTTGGGATTGCTTCGGCAGGAAGCAGGTCAGTATATAGGAGCCCTTTTTTTCTAGATTTAAAAAAAGGAAAACTCAACACAAACGCTAATAAAACTTCTTTATGGGGGGAAAATGTAAATTGTACAAAATTTTTTGAAGTGAAAAGAGAAAAATTCTCAATACCCTAAGGTAGCCACTGTTTATATTCTCCCAGACATTTTCTATGCATATATAGATGTGTGCTGAGACCTAGATCCTTTAACAAAAAACACTCATACACAAATGTAGTCATATTAATTACAATCTTTTGTGACTTACTTTTTTAACATAAGAATGTATCATGGATGTTGTTATTATTATTATTTTTGAGATGGAGTCTCACTCTGTCACCCAGGCTGGAGTGCAGCAGCATGATCTCGGCTCACTGCAACTTCCGTCTCCCAGGTTCAAGCCATCCTCCTGCCTCAGCTTCCCTAGTAGCTGGGTCTATAGGTTGCACCACCCTGCACAACTAATTTTTGTATTTATTTATTTATTTTGAGATGGAGTTTCACTCTTGTTGCCCAGGCTAGAGTGCAATGGCGCAATCTCACCTCACTGCAACCTCTGCCTCCCGGGTTCAAGCGATTCTCCTGCCTCAGCCTCCCAAGTAGCTGGGATTACAGGCATGCACCACCATGCCTGGCTCATTTTGTATTTTTAGTAGAGACGGGGTTTCTCCATGTTGGTTAGGCTGGTCTCGAACTCCCAACCTCAGGTGATCCACCTGCCTCGGCCTCCCAAAGTGCTGGGATTACAGGCATGAGCCACCGCACCTGGCCAATTTTTGTATTTTTGATAGAGACGAGGTTTCACCGTGTTGACCAGGCTGGTCTCGAACTCCTGACCTCAGGTGATCCACCCGCCTTGGCCTCCCAAAGTGCTGGGATTACAGGCATGAGCCACTGCGCCTGGCCGTATCACGAATATTACATCAATACATTAATATGTATCAATACATTAATTGTGTATTTTGCTTTTTTTTTTTTAAAGTCTGAGTAGAGCATCATTTATTAATAAGGCTTATATTATATTTTTATTATTGCAAAGTAACTTATGTCTGGTTCAAAACTACCAAAAGGCTTATAATAAAATATACTTGTTCCTTGCCCTACCCATCCTCAGTCTTCTTCCCTAAAGGCTTTCAGTTTTTTCAGTTATTTATTCTGGCATTTAAAAACACCTGTATTTCTTGGCCGGGCGCGGTTGCTCACGCCTGTAATCCCAGCACTTTGGGAGGCCAAGGCAGGCGGATCACGAGGTCAGGAGATCGAGACCATCCTGGCTAACACGGTGAAACCCCGTCTCTACCAAAAATACAAAAAAAAAAATCAGTTGGGTGTGGTGGCAGGTGCCTGTAGTCCCGGCCACTTGGGAGGCTGAGGCAGGAGAATGGCGTGAACCCAGGAGGCAGAGTTTTCATTGAGCCGAGATCGCGCCACTGCACTGCAGCCTGGGTGACAGAGCAAGACTCCGTCTCAAAAATAAATAATTAATTAAATTTAAAAAAAAACAACAAACACCTGTATTTCTTTTCTTTTCTTTTTTTTTTTTTTTTTTTGAGATGGAGTCTCACTCTGTCACCCAGACTGGAGTGCAGTGGCATGATCTTGGCTCACTGCAACCTCTGCTTCTCGGGTTCAAGTGATTCTTCTGCCTCAGCCTCCTGAGTAGCTGGGACTATAGGTGCGTGCTCCACACCCAGCTAATTTTTGTATTTTTAGTAGAGACAGGGTTTTACCATATTGGCCAGGCTGGTGTCGAACTCCTGACCTCATGATCCGCCTGCCTTGGCCTCCCAAAGTGCTGGGATTACAGGCGTGAGCCACTGCGCCCAGCCTAAAAACACCTGTATTTCTAAGAACAAGAGTATGGTGTTATATTTTTAGTCACTTATTTTAGACGTTACCTGTCGACTCTGCTAAATTAGTATTTAGTATTTACGTGATTATGCTTATGCAAATATTAGTTATAACTGAGCAGTTTTATTTCTTTTTGTTTTTCCTAAGGGTAATAATTGCGTTTGCTTTTCATGTGTTTGGGGCTTTTTTGTATTTCTTGCTCATTCCTCCCACACCTTTCAGTAGCCTCACCACATCAAACAACTTAATGATTAAGTAATTTATCAGTTCTGATTTGTTTTGGAGACACTTTTTCTGAAGAGCACTATTTTTCTTTCAGGGCTTATTGCTCTGCAGATCTGCTACAGAACTGTCACCTGGGACTTAACTTTCCTATCATCCTTAAGATTTCTTTGTCCTTTCTCCAGGGTTGACTTTTCTGTTTCTTGATTCTCATATTCTCATATTTCTTGGTTTATTTCCTTGCACAGTAGTACATCCTTCTGTACTTTTAGCAGATTAAAAAGCTGGTACAACACTAGAGGGCATGGGTGATGATAGTCTTCAATGAATTTCACATCTTTCCTTTTCTTGGTCTACTCTCTTGTTTTGGTGGACATCCTCTAGTAGATTTCAGAGAAAGAGTGTATAGGAAATAAATTTTATTAATCCTTCTCTTCTGAAAATATAATTATTGTAGCTTCACTCCTGATTAATAGTTTGGCTGGGAATACAATTCTAAGTTGGAAACAATTTTTCTTATTTTACATTCAGTGTTGCTTTTGAGAAATCCTAAACTGTTCAGATTTTGATCCTATTGTATGTCATCTTTTTTTTCCGCCTTGCCAGAGCTTGTAAGAGTTTCCCTTTGTTCTAAAGGTTCTAAAACTATGAAGTACTTTTCTGTGGGTCTATTTTTCTTCATTTTTCTGGGTACTTGTTGGATCCTTTTGATCTAGAAACCTTGGCTGTTCAGGAAGTTTTCTGCAATTATGTCATTAATTGTTTCGTCCCTCTGTTTTCTATGGAATTTTATTATTCAGACATTGGACCTCTTGGACAGACCATTTAAGTTTTTTTTCTTCTTTTTTTCATCTGTATGTCTTTTCCTTCTTGAGAGATTTCTGCACCTTTATCTTTCTGTCTTCTCTATTTTGCCATCAAGGTTTTAATTTCTTTCTCTTTTTTTAAAGTTTTTAAAATCAGGCAGTCTTTCATGCCAGAGAAGGCTCAGAGACTCCAAGGTTTTAATTTCTAAAAGTTCATTTTTGGTTTTTGAATTGTCCTTTTTAAAACATAATATCCTCTTGTTTCATGGGTTGTAAATATCTCCTCTCTGTTTTCTCCATGTTATTTTTCTTTTTATGTGGTCTCTGTTCTGCATGTTAAAGGCTTTTCTTAGGTGTCATGTAATTCTTCATTGTAGTTTTTTTATTTGGGGATGAAAAAGGTGATTGACAGTTTGGAATATATAGGTGGGGTTTCTGCATGGAATATATAGGTGGGGTTTGTTGACTTTGAGCAGTACTATTGAATGATGTGGGTGGGCCTTTTGTTGGGGAACCCTTGATTTAAGTATCCTTTTGGTTTTCCTCGTCTGTGAGCGAGATTCCCCAGAGAGTGCTCTTCCAATCTCCTGCCTGAAACGAAAGGACTGGCTGCCAGCATTCCTAGAGCTAAGTGGTAGAAGGTGGCTGAGTGGCTTCTCATTCAGCTGTTTTCAGGACAGTACTATTTTTAGATTATAGTGCCCATGCCTTCAACTTTACTAGTCAACTCGTAATCCAAAGGCTTTCTGTTTTACCCTTTCCAGAGATTAACCTCTGGATTTCTACTGCAGATGGAAAGGAGATGAGTAGGCAGGGAGGAAGATCTATTTCTCAACCAGTTTTTACTTAGTCCTCCATAACCTTAGTATCCATCCCCAGTTGCAGATCCGTTTGAGGATTCTGCAGTGTAATCACTTTGGCTCTCAGCTTTCCCCACTGTTTAGGATTTATCTTTTTAAATTCTGCTAAGTTAGTTTCTACTCATCTGTCTACTTTCTAATTTTCTAAAATTTGGGTCTTTATGAATTTCTTTCTCTCTCTCTCTCTCTCTCTCTTTCTTTTCTTTCTTTCTTTCTTTTTCTTTTCCTCCTTTCCCTCCCTTCTCTTTTTTCCTTTCCTTTCCCTTACTTTCCCTCCCTCCCTCCCTCCCTCCCTCCCTCCCTCCCTCCCTCCCTTCCTTCCTTCCTTCCTTCTTTCCTTCCTCCCTTCCTTCCTTCTCTTTCCTCTATGCTGCCCAGATTGGAGTGCAGTGGTCTGATCACAGCTCACTGCAGCATCAACTTCCGGGGCTCAAGCGATCCTCCCGCCTCAGCCTCCTAAGTAGCTGGGACTACAGGTGCACACCACCATG